>NT_187615.1:0-235827 GCF_000001405.40 Homo sapiens
TTTTAGAAATATTTATTTAGGCCGGGTGTGGTGGCTCACGCCTGTAATCGCAGCACTTTGGGAGGCCGAGGCAGGCGGATCACCTGAGGTCAGTTCAAGACAAACCTGGCCAACATGGTGAAACTCCATCTCTATTAAAAATACAAAAATTAGCTGGGCATAGTGGCGGGTGCCTGTAATCCAGCTATTCTGGAGGCTGAGGCAGGAGAATCACTTGAACCCAGGAGGTGGAGGCTGCAGTGAGTCGAGATTGTACCATTGCACTCCAGCCTTGGCAATAAGAACAAAACTCCATCTCAGGAAAGAAAGAAAGAAAGAAAGAAAGAAAGAAAGGAAGAAAGAAAGAAAGAAAGAAAGAAAGAAAGAAAGAAAGAAAGAAAGAAAGAAGGAAAGAAAGAAAGAAACATTTATTTAATATTAATTTAATTCATTCCAATACTCCAAAATTATAAAGAAATAATAGTTATTATTCACTTTATAACATTGCTTGGAACCCCAGTCATATATAGAATGCTCTATGATCATTCTTTCAGGTAGATCAATGGTCCATTGCTTAATAGGTTATGCCTTATGTAACATGGCAATTTTAGAGATTTCTATCCTTTTAAAGACACCAGACCTCACTTCCAGTAAACAAAGTGGTGAATAAGGAAAGAATTCCTTTCAAGTTTCTTACCCGTATATCAGCACAAGGGAAGTTCAAGTAATTAGCTAAAGAATTTAGGCCAAAATATGCTCTTAAAAAAAATACTGGATGTTGGAGCTCAGTGGCCAAGATTATTTGTCAATGTTGATCAAATTTACCAGCTGGTTGCTTAACCTCTGCTTTTTGTCTGCCTTTGAATATACATACAGCTTCGGGCAGTCAAAGGAATCAATACTGCCATATATTCCTATCACTGAGCATCTGCGTTTATAGTCAGTTTGTTTAGACATCATGCCAGAATAACCAGTTCAAGAGTGAAAAACATAACCAAGGAAAGAAAGAATTGTTTAATATTATAAAACTTATCAATATGGTACATCTCATTAATTGGACAAATACGAACTACCACAAAACCCATCATTATCCAAATAAAAGATGACAAGGTATTTTACCAGATTAAGTACCTAATTCTTCTTCAACACAAAAGTGGCAGGATACTATTTAACATGATAAAGAAATACTTTTACAAGCCAATAATTAGCACGATGCCTAATGCAGGTAAGTATGTCAAGTCAGCAGATTACGTAAGTTCAAAGAGCCAACTGGTAACATTTAACTTTATTTTGGAAGTCCTAGACAATGAAATACATTTCATTGTAAATTCAAGCCTTGTATATTATAAAGAAGAAAATAAGAATTTTATCATTATTTTAAATAAGTTGGTTGTATTAGAAATTCCAAAAGGTTCTGTTGAAAATATATTAGAATTAAAGTATTCAGTGACTCAGAAGGATCGTTTATATAAATCTTTATCAAAACCAGAAAGTAGAATGGATAAAATCTTTCATTCATAACAGGACATCAAATAAAAAACTCTAAAGTTTCTAGAAATACTCTTAAGGATATGTCTCCTGTGATAATGTTATGTAGACAATTATAATTCTGAAACAAAACATATACTTATTATATAATGACACACACCAAGTTTCTGAATAATAAAAATAGTCATATTAAAAGTTGCATAATTGTTGGTTTTCAAATAATTTATTTAAAATGTGTGAAATAAAAACTTATAATGTTTCAACAGTTAAAATAGAATTGTACTAATATTTAAAGCTAGTCAGTAAGACTAGAAAGGTTGAACAAATCAACAAAGAACAGATTATACATATGTATGTATACGATGAATGTATATGATACTCATAGATAAAATGCTAATCTATAGTATGAAATCCATAAAAACAAAGCCACACCAGCAAAAATCAGAGAGAAAGAAAACAGTTCAATGAAAATTTGGGGGAAACTGGTCTGATTATTTTGGGGAAATACCTAGTTTGATACCTTTTCCATGCCGTATATCAAAGTAAATTCAAAGAAGATTAAAAGTCAGCCATTAAAAAATATAATGTTTAACACTGGAAAAAAAATTAAAGCAAAAAGTGATCAAACCTAAGGTAATAAAATGTCTTGCTAAATCAAACACCACGGAAGAAATAAAAACATATTTCATAGATCTAACTCTTGAAATTTGTCCATATGTAAACAAAATTAATGGTAATATATTAAACTACAGTAAATGTGCAACAAATGTTAGTCATGAATAATATCTTTATCATATACAGAGTTCACAGAAATCAATGAGAAAATTACCAAGATCCCAATAGGTAAATGAGAAAAGAATAGGACATAATCTATAAAAGGGAATACAAATGTCTCATGAAATTAGCAATAGCATTTTATTTTCTTTTTAGTTTTAAAAATATTCACTGATAATTTTTAAAAACAATTTCAATTTCTCCCCTTCTCTTTCAGTGTAATGGTAATTTTTATATGATTATATTAATGGTATTAGTAAAATACTGACTTTCTATATATGTTAGTGATCTGGAGTTCCTCTTCAAATAACTTGTTTAAGTAAAAACACAAATATGTTTAAACTATTAATTGAATAACAAATAATACTACTGCCATTAAGTTAACTAACTCACAAGCAGCAAATCAAATACTGCACGTCCTCACTTATAAGTGGGAGCTAAACCACAGGTACGTACAGACATAAAGGTAGAGATAATATTCTCTGGAGACTCCAAAACTGGGGAGGTTGAGAGGGGAGTGAGGGTTGAAAAATTATCTATTGGGTACGATGTTCAATATTGGGGTGGTAGGTACACTAGAAACCCAGTCCCCACAGTGATGCATGTAATGCCCGTGGAGCAAACAAGCAAATGTACCCTCTGAGTCTAAAAATGAAAAAGGAAAAAGAAAAGAAACGGGCATAGAGAAGTTAAAAAGCTTGCCTAAAAATTACTGATGAATAATGAGTACTAAAGTGGTTGACCCTAGGACAGGATTCTTTCTAATACATCTGTGTTTCCCAAATGTCTTCCTAAATGGTGTTCAAAATTTTGAAATATCTGTGTAGCAACACTATTTTAGATGAGAATATCCAGTGTTGGTAAGAATGTAGTTAAATGAAAAGTAATTATTTTCTATTCATTCGTTTATCCAAAAATTACCCAGTGTCTACCTTTTGCCAAGTATTTTTCAGGTAGTTCAAAAGATCGTGTTTAGTATTACCAAGTTTCCATCTTTCTCAAACATATATCCTACTAGATGAAACAAAACAAATTGAAAGTTAAAAATAAAGAGTATAACTCATATAAAGATAAGTACGATAAAGAAAATCAAGCAAAGGAAGGGGTTAGAGAGTGACCTAGCTGAGGAGTAGGGCAGTGTCACGTGGGATACTTCAAGGAATGCCCCTCTAAGGAGATGACCTTTGGGCATCTAGTTGAGAGATGTAAGAACCAAGATATGAGGCAGGAATGAAGGTGAAAGTTGGAGGAATTACGCAGGCCTGCATGCTTGGGGGAGAGTCAATGAGTGAGAATTGCAAGAAAGGAAGTTACAGAGAAAGGCAGGGGCCAGACCAGGTGGGGCTGGCTCAGGTAACCACATCTCATTCTCATGTTGGATGCTGTACAAATGGCAAAACTTTTCTGGAAGGAAAAATTGGCAATGCTTATAAAAAACCATAAAAAATCTTATATTTAACTCAGTAATCCCACTTATGGGAATATATTCCAGGAAAATCATTCTCTCTCATGCCCAAAAGTCATCAGTTCAGACATTACCAGTCTCTAAAAATTTCTTATCCCACCTCCCTATCTGTATCATACTTCTTCCTCCTGGAGGATGAACTAGTTAAGTTGTTTCAGAAAAAAATATAAAATGAAGTCTCTTAGGTAAAAGCTCCTTAGTATCTGAATTCTGACCCATTTTATCTTCATATACATCCTTGCCTCCTACCTTCCATCCTCTGTGGGAGTGGTGTCCTCCTGCTATTCTATTTTTAATAATTAAAATATTATTTTACTAATATTCACACCAAACCAGAAACATTAGAACTAAACAAATCAACAGGGAATATGTTGTACATATGTATGTATAGAATAAATGTATATAATAGTCAAAGATAAAATACTAATGCACTATAAACATGGAATCAAAGAACAAAATCACACCAAATTGTTCTACTTTGTTCAGTGGACTCTGACCCTTGTCTGTTTCCCGGTCTGGAAACTCACTCAGTTGTTTCTCCTTAATTATGATGTTCCATTTCTCTGTCTCTACCAATCCCTTCTCTTTGACAATTCAACTCAAAAACATCAGTCATCATTGAAAAAACAAGGCAAAAACCTCCCCCTTCTCTATCTCTCTCCTGGTCTTCTTAGGCAACTTTTCTTAATTATCTGCATTATTGACTGTACTTCTTCACTTTGATTTGCTCTCAAAATTTCCACCATCTTGGTCTTGCTCCCAATTGTTGCAGTGGAAACCTCTCTGGAAAATACAAGCCATGTCCTCACTGTGGCTACATCCTTTTCTATATCCAACTTTTTGCTGTGGTTAGGGCTCAAGTGTGGAGTTGTTCATAGGGAGTACATCAAGCCACTAAGAAAATATAGAATGGAAGTTCTACATTTTTTATTATCCTGTCTATAATAAGGCCTTAAATTACCTTATTTTCACATTCTTGGTGGAGGTATTATAAACTACTTTTGAAATAATATCTGTAATACCTTAGTTTGGATTAATTTCATGTATTAACCCTATAAAAACATAGAAGTCCAGATAATGGGTCAACACATAAACAATCTGTGATTAGAAAGTATATTAGTCTGTTTCACACTGCTATAAAGACACTATCTGAGACTGGGTAATTTATAAAGGAAAGAGGTCTAACAGACTCACAGTTCCACATGGCTGAGGAGGTCACAGGAAACCTGCAATCATGGACGGTGAAGGAGAAGCAAGTACCTTCTTCACAAGGCAGCAGGAGAGAGAGACAGAGAGAAAGAGTGAAGGGGAAACTGCCACTTTTAAACCATTAGATCTCGTGAGAACTCCCTCACTATCATGAGAACAGTATAGGGGAAACTGCTCCCACGATCCAATCACCTCCCACCAGGTCCCTCCCTTGACTCGTGGGATTCCAGTTCAGGATGAGATTTGGGTGGGGACACAGAACCAACCCATGTCAGAAACAACCGTTTCTAAATATAACGCAGTGTGAGGAGTTCCTGATTGCATAGCAGGAAGGTTGAAAACACTGAGGCTTAACAAACACTGGCTATTGCCATGAAGAGAAGGTGGTATGGGTTGAAAGAGAGAAGACAACACATAAAATAATATAGAAGAGAGCTGAATACTTATTTTTTTCCTAACTTAGTCTAATGATCTACTGATCTGTGCTTGATGTTTTCTTTTGAGAAGACCACTCTTTGTTCTTGTCTAACTGAAGAGTCTATCCCCATGAATCTGCTATTGTAAATAGGCTGCTTTATGAAATGGGAAACAAAAAAAAAGTGTTCACCCAGGCAAGAGATGCCACCTTCTATTCATTTCTGATGCATCTAGTTTCCTAACACTTACAGCTTGCCAAACTGCAGGATAAAGCACATAGAGTAAAATTATACAGACTTGCAAAAAGATTTGAATTCAGGGTATTAATAGCAGAAGGAATGTTCTTCTGGGAGTAATCTAAGTGTTATATTTACCTTTGGTTTGAGAATATTTGCAGTGAGGAATTTCAAATGCAAATATTTTAAAAGCATAGCATGTTGGTAGAGAGACACTGTGAGCACTTCTGTTTTCCTTTTAAAAAAGGTTTTTCTTGCCTTTTTATTGGAATCTTAACGAGACCATAATTACGATAGCAAAAGGGGGAAAATACAGCTGTTAAAAGCTTGGTGTTACTGTATATATAGTCCCTGTACTATATTTAAAAAAAAAATCTGAAACCATTCAAGAGAGAAAAAAAGATGATTTAGCAAAGTAAATCTTGTACACTTATATTTTTGGTATGCATGGGTTTTTTTCACTGTAAATGTTTTGAAATTTATCAGTCAAGTTTCCTCTTATCTGTTCTTTTAATTTTAATTGAACCATAATACAAAATACTTAAAGAAGACTTACCTTCATTTTTGTCACTTCCATATACACATCCAACCTCCCTTTCCATGTTAAATGTAATAAGAAACTATACATCTCCAAAGGTCAAAGGTCCAATTATTTTCTAGGGTACACTCCTGTTAGGAAGTTATGGATGTCTGTGCATACAATATGCTATGGGGGAAGTATATCTTTTAACACAAGACTTGTGATTACAGAGACCCTCACCTTCTAGTCCGAAGCAGTATTTGTATTTCCACTATATTTGTCCAGAGAAAGCATTGTCCCTCTTAAATAGATGAACATGCTAAATTTGATTCAATTAATTTTATGCATAATAAAGCTTCCAAAATGGAACCCTAATTCTTCTGGTGATGTGCAGACCTTAAGAACATAAATGCATTTTTACAGAATAAACAGAATGCTCCAGGTAAATCATAATCCAAAATGTACCCAGAGTGATTCATCACTAACAGTACTTGTTAACTAGATAGAAATTTTTAACTGCAAGGTCTGGTAGAGATCAGTTAATTCAAATCTCTTCTATTTTCCTTTCCTTCAAAAGAACAAGACCAGAGTGTTCCTGAGGCTGAGGATTTTGAGCATGTGTAGCATAATATAGAGTAGAAGGTAACAGTGGGATTGCCATGATCTTCCCATGCTCTTCAAAACATGTGAAAAATAGGCTGACTTCCCTGATGAAGAGGATCAAGTGATTTCTGTGCTTTCGGATCTTCCACTGTTTGTACAATGTCTCAGTTGTGCATTCCATTGAATCATCTAAGAGTTCAATTTATATGGATTAGCTCAACAGTACAAAAGATCCAAGACAGAATCTGCTCCAGGTTGTGAGTGAAGCATATTTCAGTTTAGGCACTCACCTGGGCATCTCGGCCTCAGTACCATAAGTTACAAACACTAAACTTCAGGCAATAGTAAAGGATATTTTCATCAACATAACATATGCTTATTTTAAATTACAATTTCAATGTCTCTACATGTTAACAGGTGATACATATACGAGTTCCAAATTTGCAAGATTTCAATCTGCTTTTCAATCTCCTATGCACTTTGAAAAGAAATGATGCACTTGATGGATTGCTTCATTGCTAAAAGTCTGCTTCTGACCATAGCAAGAGTAGCCCCAGATCACCAATCATTGAGAGAAGTGGAACTCAACATACTGAGTTGTGACAGGGCGAGTCTTCAAATTTCCAGGGGACACTTGGCAGGTGAAAAGGGTTAAACAAAGAAACAGAAAAACATTCTTTAAGAGTATTTTTCAGAGTACCAGAAGACTTGGAGGTTAAACCCAGCTGACTTGAATAATGTCAGTCTCTGATAAATACTCATTTATCTATTGGAGATAAAAAAAAAATCTGCTCTTTAGCTGCCATGATCCTATGTTGCAGGAAATTTTTAGAGGAACAAATAAAGCCACTTTAGTCTCTTAATATAATGACCATCACTGAAACATGTCTCTTCTCATTATTTGCTTAACCTTATTATGATCTCCAACATTGACATCTGATTTTTTTCAAGTTACTTGAGGGCTGAACCCATTAGTGTTTCACTTGAACCAATTCGGTTCCTCCCTAGAAATACAAGCTGGTAAAAAAAAGAACGAGTCTTCCCAAGACTGAGATGGGGGTTTCATTCACACCAGGTTTGTTCCTGAGTCATTACTTCCAGCATTTCTGCAAGGGCACCAGACATTTCTCCACATTTGACACATTCCTCTCAAATTGGATCCATCATGAAATGGTAAAGAAAATCACTAAAACCTTCCTGCATCTCACTGTGGCCTAAAAGAGGAAAAAGCTATTATTTTGTTTCATAAACTCTGATCTGCATGAGTCTCCATCACACATCAGCAAAACAGTAACTTCTCAGATTTATATCTTAGAAGGTTAAGTTTCTCAGCCCTGTGAGAGTTGACAACTGTCATTATTTTGAGTTTACAAAGTCTTATAAGACATGGTGCTCTTGGTTTGGTGACAGTGTCAGCTTTTATATATGACAGATGAATACTGCATGACTCCACTAACTCTTGGCAGAAGGCTGTTATCTTGACAAAAATAATACAGCAAAAGTGCCTTCAAAGTGAGCTAAGGTTGTGTTAGAGAACTGGGATTGAAGGAAAAAGATAAAAGCCACTTTTCATATATTTACCAATTGTAGACAGCAGTATTTATTTTAGGATGTTTTTATAAGTCAGTTGCTACATTCAGTGGATGTAACATATCCATTTTTATCCCATGTTGGTGCCAATTATTTTTCAGATTCTTATATACTCAATCTCCCCTCTGCCCAACCCCACAACAGCTAATAACACAGTCTTCCGTTTTTTTCCCACCCCAAGAATCTTATATCTCTCACAAAGAACACCAGCTATGAGGCAAAAGGCACTCAAGCCATCTCCTCTCTTAAAGATTTATAAGTGATCCGACCTTCCTGAGATTGAGATAATAATGACTGACCTGATATCATTGGTGCTGTGAGAAATATGGATATGAGAGGTGGTGTCTGTGGCTGCCCGATAGGGTTACATTGTTGTCAGTGCCTTGTCCTGTTTTTCACTCTGTCTTGTTTGAATATGGAAAAAAGCAGTTGGGTGCTACATGTGTGTAGTCAGGAGCTAATGAAACACAGGGGTCACATTACCCAATTTTCTGTGTGTGTGTGGAGGGAATAGGGAGTGGTTAAAATCTTCTGTTTAGCCTCTCCCTCCATTGCAACATTATGTAAACCTAGGAACTGAAGAAATATCCAAACAATCTAAAAGAAGTTGTAGCAAAAGTGACCATGTCTTCTGTGGTAGCCCTTCAACCAACTCATTCTTCACCCTTATCAACTTTTTAAAAAAATAGAGTAATTTTTAAATTGTGGTTTCAAAGTAAGATGTATTTATTCTGGAAAAAATTATTAAAAGCACAAGACATAAAATTAGAATAGCCCCAACATCCAGAAATAACTTATTTTACTCATTAGGGGTTTTGTGTTTTCATCATTTGTATGTGTGTATACATTTTAAAAAATAATTTTGATTATACTTGACACATTCATATCGTATAGATATGTCTTAGGTTATACTTCATCACTTAACAAATATCAATATGATTCTTGCAATCTGATTCTTAATATCATGTATCACTGTACATTCATTTAGTCATTCCTCAATTTTTTGGACATTAAGTGTTTTTTTTTATATATATACTTTAAGTTCTGGGGTACATGTGCGGAACGTGTAGGTTTGTTACATAGGTATACACGTGCCATGGTGGTTTCCTGCACCTATCAACCCATCATCTACATTAAGTATTTCTACATTAGCATCTCTGCGGCTGTCTCTGTCAGAGCCAAAGCCTTTTACAACCCGCTAACCTCTGTATACACTGTTGGTCCATGGCCTAAGGGCATTCATGCCCACAGGAAGAGTAACACAGGTTAAAAAAAAAAAAAAAAAAAAAAAAGACTCGTGGATTATAACTCACCAAGCTTTACCGGAGAATTCTATCATCTTTACATCCTTGAATCCTTTCTGTGTCTCTAGAACCAGATCCACATCCCTCTTTGTCAGCTCACCTCCCTTCATTTATTATCTTGTCTTCCTGCATTTGCACAAACTTCCCAAACTCTGGCTTATCTTGTTCCCAAGTCCCAGTTCCTCCAAGCTAACATTATTCTATTGTTGCCCAGGCCCTAGCATGATGCCCTGCTACAATTAGATAGCTCTGCCTTATTTCTAATAACCTTTTGCTCCTCCCCTTTGAGTAACTTTATTTTAATAAGCTCAGACTGCCATAACAAAATAAACTGGGTGACTTAAAAACCAGACGTTTATTTTTTCACAGTTCTGGAGGATGGGAAGTCCAAAATGAAGGTACTAGCAGGGTCAATGTCTGGTGAGGGCTCTTTCCTTGGGTTGCTGAGAGCTACCTTCTCATTATATTTCACATGTGGGAGAGAGACAGAGAGTTCTCTTCTTATAAGGACATCAATCCTATAGGATTAGAGCCCCACTCTTATTACTTCATTTAACCTTAATTACCTCCTAAAAGCCCTATCTCCACATTTAATCACATGGGAGTTAGAGCATCAACATATAAATTTGGGGGGGGGGATATCAACTCATTCTATAACACTTCTAAAATACAGTTTTCATCATTAGTACTTTAAATATTTCAGATTTCTTCCTAGAGAAAATTTTTATATTCCTAAAATGATGGTAACTCCACTCTGATAGGTCAGGGTTGCAGACATAGTACAACTGAGCTGTACTGATGAGCAATGCTCAATTCCAAAAATATGTAGTCTCATGAACAATCAGATATTCCTTTAGTTGACTGTCTCCCACCTTGTTTCTCTGCCTTAAAACAGCACACCTCAGACACTGCTCCTTAGTACAAACCTGTCTGGCTCCCAAGTCACAAAACAGCAGCAAATTTTAATTAATCAATGTTTTATGGACATAATTAAAATATGCACTTACAAATAAAATGTCACACTTAAAATCAAGTACCAATTTCATAAAGCTGCATTAATATTTATAAAATGATTATTGCAGACAGGCACATTACTGCTCATTAGGGCACACATGCATGCAAGGGTAGCAAATTCTTAATCATCATGAAGTTGAAGGCTATGATCTCTCAGTTCCTTGGCCTTGTCCTAAAAACTTCCAACCTTCTCAGGCCTTTTTTATGAATAAGCTTCTGGCCTTTTTCTCTACCCTGATTTTCCCTTCCCAAAAGATGCTACCTTACGCAAATTATCCGTTGAGATAAAAATGAAGAACTGTGTCCTTGACCTGTGGCCCCTTGGAATACGTGAAGCAAAATGGGCATCCCCAGCCAGGGGAAAACCGAACAACAGCTTCCATCTCTTCCATGAATTCTGCCGCCCACGAGATGACCATTTCTCTCCTCCAAATCCCACCCATAGTTGTTTCCACCAGACCACCACCATAGTCTATTATTAGCCAATATAAAGCCTGTAATATCGCCATGGAATTTTTGTAGGGGTAAAAATCACAAACTTACATAATAGAGGTGGGAATTGATTTACATTGCCATGGTGTGAGTGCTAAAGCAATACAATATTTTAGAAATATTTATTAGCCCAAAAGGAAACTTTAAACAGTAAAACTGAACTAACTCTACCAGCTGGCAACATAGCAGAGGAGAGTGAGGACAACACATTTGGCCAGGCTTATATTCAACTGAGCTTGGAGACTTCACAATCTCAGCCCCTTTTGGAGGCTCGTGTTCCTTTTATATGTAGAATGTTATTTTCTGATGCAGACAGAGCAAGAAAGTGCTCTTTTGGGGCATTTTTGAGTACTTTTGAGCACATTTGGGGCATCTTTGGGGCTTTCTTTGAGCCCTTTTTGGGAAATGCTCCTGGGGCTCCAATAGTATCTAATAGCTTCTTAAAAAACATTTTAATAAGCTAACTTGAAATTTATCAGAAATGCACAGACTGACTCTCTGTCAACCCTGACAATTATGTGTTATGAACTCAGAGCAGAGAAACATACAGCCACTCCATAACATGCCCACAATCTTCTATGGGGGCTCATGTCCCCACCATTAGAATCATCCCATAGAATTAAGATTTTTATCTCTATGGAAACCTTCACCTATACACAGATCTTGTGTGTGTTGAGTGAGGGCTATAACACATTCTATAATCTCATTCTTACTTCAGCATAAATTAAATTATCAGTGTATATGAATGAGACAGGAAAAGCAGATATGTTGACCAGGAAGAAAAATAAGAGAAATTAGAGAGATCAGGCATTTCTTCTATCTGCCTCAGAAAGCAAGATGGTGCTAACAATGGGATGTGCTAGAGGGCTGGAATATTTGAGGATGGGGTGGCAAAAACTGGAAAAAGATTTTTAACAGAAAGTCAGAGATGCCAAAGATTACCTTCCTTTTTATTCAGGTAAACTGGTAGGCATCATTTGATTAATGGAGAATATTAAATTCATTTTGAGCAAGCAAACATGAAAGACAATCAGTAGTGAATAAAATAGCAATACATTTACGGAAAAGAACATGGAATTTGAGGTCAGATAGACACAGCTTTAAAGCATGTGTCTTTGTTCTACTAGCTACGTAATTTTGAGAAAGCCACTTAAATTTGAGCATCAGTTTCTTTATATGTAGAGCAAGAATACTCCTGCTTTTCAGAGGTTGTTAAGAGAATTGTGTCTGGCATATACTAGACATTCAAGACCTAGAAGCTATAAGAAATAAGAAGAAATTTTATATTGTTAGAATCTTCTGATTGTAAATGAAGCATCCTAAATTTCCATATTCCAGACAAACTATCCTGTAAGGTCGCGTAAGGATGTGGCCTCCACTCACCCACTCCCAGCCCATTTTTGTGCCAGTCTTGCCATGGTCTTCTGGGTAATCCTGAAACTAGGACTCTCTTTCTCAATCAGCCAACAAGAAGCCTAGTGAGAGCCAAAGGAGGACAACTGCAGCATCAGTCAATCAGCAAGTGTGGGGGACTCTGGGGACAGAATTTAGAAGATCTCCTTTCTCTTCATTACTTGTCTTCTGTGTACAATGCTTTATTACCTTCACATAAGCAAAGGGCTTGGTGGAGAGCAGAGAGCAAATAGATAATATAAGAATCTCACCCCCAAATTTGCTGGTTGCTCCTTATAAACTTCTAAGTTTTATTTATGCATCAACAGCCACCTTGAAATATCATCTGTAAGTGTGCTCAGCTAATATGTTGCCCCTTAGAACTTCAAATTCAAACGTAGAAACAAAGCCACCAAGAGACCTATACCCCGCAGTACCTGGCTTTCAGAAGGAAATGATTTGGCACGTGTATACCCACTTTCCAAAGACTGGTAAGCACCTAGAAACTATCCATAGGAATGTGTGCAAGTTCACTGTGGTTTGGCAGATGGTGTTGGTGGGAATGTAGCTAAGGACACAGCCTCACTGACTCCAGCTAAAAAATAAAAAGTAAAACACATTTAAATTCCCTCACCAGCTCATTTTCTACCTCTGTGATTTTGTGCTCCTGAAAATGGTGATTCCATCAATGATGAAACATACAACACTGACATTTTACTCAGCAAAGGAAAACACCATAAATTCCCTGAGACCCCAATCGGAGCCAGACATATAAGTTTGGAGTGTCCTAATATAACCGAAAAGGAAGCCTTGTTGAACATTGCATGTAGATAGGGTGATTTAGGTGAGATTTTTAGTGTTGTGGAGTAACACTAGCAAACACTTTTAGATTATCATCTTTACCATCCGCCAGACCCCAAATCTACTATAAGGTAAGAAAAATAACATGTGGACATCCTAAGTAGTTATTAGGAACTATGAAGGAACCAAGGTACTCATTTACACATATACAATTATGTAAATGGGGTTCATGTAACAAGTGACTTCACTAATATGATGAACAGCATCTCCAGTGGTTCCAAGTCCATTGAAGAGCTCAAAAACCCCAGTCCCTCTGGGAGTCTCCCCAGAAATCAGTCTGAACTAGTCCGCTCTTCTGAGCTTTCGCCATTCACAGGGCTGCTGTCTCAGACCCAGCTTCTATCACTCAATTGGTAACTGATTTTTGTTCTTATTTGAATATGTAGTATGTCTCTAGCTAGCTAGTTGTCTCTGCATATGTGAAATGATTTAATAGTAAAAGGAAATATTTATTGTAAAACTTTAAGAAGATAAACAAGAGCATAAAATTCACTTATTATTCATAACTCCACTGCCACAAGTTAATTATATATATCCAGCAAAGGATGTTTACAAAATTAAAAATGAACATGTTCTTTACTTTTGTTCTTTTTTTTTCTCACAAATCACACTCTATGGTGACTTCCTCTACATATCAGTACATGCTTATGCCTTTGTTTTGATTATCTAGTTCCTCTGGTTTGAGGCTTATTTTGGCAATTTCTTTGGCTACTGACTTCACCTTTCCCCTTGTTCAATGTCTTGCCATTTCCTTTTTGACTTCAAGCCTTCAGGTAAAGATTGGGTTCTTCCCACAGCTCACAGACCTCCTGTCAGCCAGGTGAGGTGTTCTCCTGTTGTGCTGGAACTATTCTGTGCACTGAATGCCTTCCTGTGCAAGTTTTGCAGAGTGTAACCTACAGAGGCATCATGAGTTAGGGGAAGACGATTCATAACCTTTTACACCTTTCATTCAGTCTCCCATACTTAAGCATCATCCTTTAAAGGGGATTTTAAAAAGACATAATTACATAAATTTCTCAAGATCTTTTCTTTGTTTACTTCCTTTGTTTGCTGTTACTATTATTTTATTGTATATCCAAGAAGAAAAGGGAGATGGGTATAGGAAGAACCCCAAGATCTTATTTGGTGAATATTAGTGCCACAATGACCTGATGTTATGGAGGTATGAAGTGTGCATGTATGTGCATATGTCACAAAGGTGTGGTGTGATGGAAACTAGATGCAATGCATAATATTGAATTAGATCTAGAAGTAGGAAAAATGACTACAAGGATGTTACTGGGACAATTGATGGATTGTAAATAAGCTTTGTAGGTAACAATATCAATGGTAAAGAAAAAAATTCCTTATTTTGGCCACTGTTCTGTAATTATGTAAGTGAAGGTCCTTACTCTTGGAAATATACATTTAGGAATTTAGAAGTAAAGGGCCAAGATTTCTGTAACTTACTCTCAAGTGGTTAAAAAGTAAAAATTAGACAGATGAATGGATGATAAAATACCTGTGGTAAAATGTTAACAATTGATGGATCTCAGTAAAAATGTATATATAATTATTTCTTGAATCTTTTATGTGAGATTAAATTATTTCAAGATAAAAATTGGCCAGGCACAGTGCTTCATGCCTGCAATCTCAGCATTTTGGGAAGCTGAGGTGGACAGATTAGTTAAGGCCAGGAGTTTGAGATCAGCCTGGCCATCATGGCAAAACCTGGTTTCTACTAAAATTACAAAAATTAGCTAGGTGTGGTTGGTGTGCACCTGTCATCTCAGCTACTCAGGAGGCTGAGGCCCAAGAATTGCTTGAACCCAGGAGGCAGAGGTTGCAGTGAGCCCAGATGGCACCACTGCACTCCAGCGCTTGGGTAACAGAGCAAGACTCTGTCTCAAAAATAAATAAATAAATAAATAAATAAATAAATAAATAAATAAATAAATAAAATTAAAATAAAAAATTAAATGGTAAATCCTAATTAATTTAAGCAACAAAACAAAAAAAAGACAATTTTTTTTGTCTAATGGTTCATTTTTGTCCCTTGAAGTTGTACTAAGCATATTATCATTTATCAGGATAAAAATCTTCCAGAAGTCATCAAGTATAGTTTGTCTCATGTTTTTCTTTGTTTGTGTTTTGTTTTTTGTTCTTTTTAATTAAAAGCAGTTGCCTTTTCTAAGAAAAAAAAACATGTTTTCACTTCCTGTTCAGACTATACAAACTTAATCTCTATTTCTGGGAAGTGAATGAAATGTGCTTGCTGGAAATTTCCCTACTCCAGAATTTCCATGAAAATTTACTGGAAAGATAATGGGCAAGCTCTTAATTTCTTTTAATTGAAACGAGAGAGGACAGAAAGTTCAGCTCAGATTCCAGACATCATAAAGTCTATTCTGGAAATGAATGGTGGGTAGATTGAAACATAAACACACACACCCTTACCCTTAAACCCTAGTCTACAGACAGTTTCATTTTTGTTAAGACTGATATCATTTGTGCAGTTTACGGTTTTCAGTAACATAGCAACATTTGCTGTATGTGTAATAACAGCATCTAAAATGACATAATAAAAAAAGAATTATCTGCGATTAGAAGTGAACTGTTAAAACTACTCTGGTCAGCGCCAAAAATCAAGGGAGTTTATTATTTCAGTAGCTGCAATGAAAAGCCCCTCTGGGTGCCTAGAAAACGTAGCCCCTTGAGTTTCCACCCGTCCTCCTCACTGACACGGTAATGGGCTTTGTTAAATTCAAAGACAGTTACGTCAGCAATTTGTGGCCTCTTGTGGGTTTTCCAGGCCTATAAAGCACACAAATTATACCCAAATATTGGCCTGAAAAATTAGTAAGCTATAGGATTTGTGTTATTTTAGCCAAGCTTTACTGGAGTGAAAGAAACCTAGGGACCTTAAAACTCAGTAGCCTCTTTGCTACCTTATTATTTTCTTTTTTGGTGGGCAGATTCTGAGAGTTAATACTGTTGGGTTTTTTTTTCATCATTATTACATTATTTTTTATTATTTTGTCTTGTGTGTTAATACTTTTTTTTGCTTCATTATTAATTTTTTATTATTTTGTCTTGCGTGTTAATACTGTTGTTTTTTTGCTTCATTATTACATTATTTTTTATTTTGTCTTGTGTGTTAATGCTGTTGTTTTATTGCTTTATTATTACATTATTTTTTATTATTTTGTCTTGGATTGTTTTGTTTGACATGCAAGAAAACTTTTGGCAGATGTTAATCAACAGTGATCTTATAAAACTATTCTTTGGCTCTTGCTTAGAATTGAATAATTACAGAAAAATCAAAGTTTTCTTCCTTTTTTAGAACCTTCCACGAATATCTCTAAAAATTATAATGTCTTTGTTGCAAGTAGCAAATTCCTGGTTTATTATGTCCATGCAATTCCATACATGAAGCGTGGTACAGTCGTTGAATAAAAAATAGAGCTTTGGCTAAGCCAGGTAAGAAACAGGGCAGAGAATGAAATTATTACTGGTTATCAACTCTTCTGCATTGATTTAATAAGGAAAAGCACTAAACATGCCGTCTAAACATTTGGATTCAAGACCAGATCAGCACTTACCAGCTTTGAACTACTGTGGAGAAATTTCTAAGCCTTATTTTCCTCATTAGAGTAGTATCCAGGATAATATTTATACTAACAGTGGTGTTTGGAGAAACAAAGCATAACAAACGAACAAAAAGGACACCATGTTCAAGGGCTCTATAAAGCTCTCTACAAAAAGCGGTGCTTCCTATCACACTTAGAGATCCTCAGGCAGGGGGTCTGGAGCCCAACCTAACTGCAACACATGAATCTGACAAGATGTATTGCTAATAACTCTTATCATTCATATTTATGTGTTGTTAGCTGCAGGGAGTTAGACTCCAAAGATTTTCATGTTATTTATCATATAGTAAGATAATTATGATTAGCAATTTGGAAACATAATTGTTAATAAAACTATGTTTATTTTAAGCTGCTTATACTTTAATATGACATTTTTCACTAAACCTTCACCTATTTTCTGAAATTCCATTATTTAATATTCTTTTAGTAATTCCCAAAAACACTAATAAGAGGCTCTAAAGGTCAAAAATCAAGGGGAAAAGAAGGCATTGTTGAATAAAGTTATTTACATAGTTAATCAGGAGCTAAAACTCAGGAGAAATGCAAATCACCTTGTTTCCAGAGAGGGAACAGTAGTATAGTCTTTGGCAGAAGTTCACGCCCTAGAGATAAACAAAAGATTTTACTTTCTTCCTTTGGACTTCTTTTGTGCATGTGTTCTTACTTGGTTTCAGTTTTTAGGTTTACAGAAATAATCTTCTGGGTGAACCAAGGTCAAAACAGCAACCAGGGGTTTAACTGCTGATCAAGCCAACAGGATGTCCAAATATTTCTCCCAAGCAATAAACCATCAGTTAATGGTGTCATTCCCACCCATAATGCCCTCTAGCACCAAGAGGAAATGTACCTTCATTTGCTGGCCGTGTGTAGAAATATCCATTCTAAACACAATATAAAACTAATCACATCGAGATTTCTAGCTTTATCCAAGGATGAAAAAGCCCAGTGAAATGCAGGCTCAGCGTCTTCCCAGTTATCTTTCCAGCCCTCTTTTTTACTCAACTGTTACATGATCTGGGTGCCTTCTTTATTTTTAAAAGACAATGGGGTGTCCCAGAGAAGGACTTTAGGCTAGGATGTGTAAGAACTTCATTCTAGTCCACTTTCTGCCTCTGTGTGATATCATACAAGTCACTTCAAAAGCATGGGTAAATTCTAAAAAGTTTGATTTAAATTCTAAACACTATTTTTTATTACCTTCTCCCTTGAAACACCCTTTGCTATACAGGTTATAAGAGGTACATCATCAGAATAAACCATGATAAGGACGGCAGAAAGCAAAAAGACAATAGCGCCAAAAGGGTATTGTGTTAGTCTGTTCTCCCACTGCTAATAAAGACATACCCAAGGCTGGGTAATTTATAAAGGAAAAAGTTTTAATTGACTCACAGTTCCACATGGCTGGGGAGGCCTCACAACCATGGCTGAAGGTGACTGAGGAGCAAAGTCACATCTCACACGGTGGCAGGCAAGAGAGTGTGTGCAAGGGAACTCCCATTTATAAAGCCATCAGATCTCGTGAGACTTATTCACTATCATGAGAACAGCACAGGAAACACCCACCCACATAATTCAATTACCTCCCACTGGATTTCTCCCACGAACCGTGCAGATTATTACAATTCAAGGTGAGATTTGAGTGGGGACACAGAGCCAAACCATATGACTTGTGATGGAGAGGGATACAGTCTTAGTAAGTCTTAGGAAACCGAGAGATGTGTGAACAGTCATTCACAGGTTAGAATGCCCACTATCATTCACCTCACTAAACTTTCAAGGCTACTTCATCAAAATTTATGTTAAGTTCATGTTAGGTCACAAATTTGAAGTTTTTCAGATTTTCATGCAATCACCCTTTAACTAGCCTATTGCTCCACATCTGGTATAATTACTTAACTTTGTATTCTGCTCATCCTGGCCCATCTAATTTTTGGGTTCTAATTCTTCTCATCTTCAGATCTGCCTTTTAAAAAATTACCTATTTCCTTATTTTGAAACCCATAGTTATCTATTTTGATGCTTTTCTTGCAATTCTAGAATCCATTATCCCTTTGTCTCTCATGCAAATTCCCCCCAATATAATCCATTTCCCCCCTACTGTTTAAAATAGTAGGCTTCCAAAAAGTGTTAAGAAAAGTAGAAAAACACTGTGGAGTATACTGCCAATGTGGGTGATCCTAACTCGGTCGATCCTTGTCTGCACTCGCTCTTGTCTATCCTTCCAACCTTCTTCAATCACATTCTTTGTAGTGACCGTTCTAAACTTAACTGTGTGTTTCTAAATGCCTGATACTATTTGTTGTAGTTGACCATCTACTCTGGTGGCTCTGTTTATTAACTCAACATTTTACTCCTTACCACACTCATCATGATTGCTTTGAGTTTTGCCATATTCTTTTAAGTCCCTAATATCATCATCTCTTCGTCACTCAAAGCTAAAAACCCCCTCTGTTACTTTACTGAGGTTTAAGTGTCTGGCCTAACCATTCTAGCTTTATCTCTTTTCAATTATCACAATATCCACTTCACTGATTCAATATTTTACCGATTCTTCACACAAGTTTTTTTTCTATTTTCTTCCTTTCCTTTTAAATATTTTTATTATGAAATATTCAGATACTGATAAATATAAATGTTATGATTAAAAAAATACAGTGTTCTTTTCTCTTACCCTCTCCTTCACTTAACTTGATGAAACCCTAGAATTTTGTTAGTTTTAAATCCATCTTTTTAAGTAGTAAATAATGGAGGAACAATAGTCTTTCTCTGAATTTCTTCTCAATCCAATTCTTCTCTAATTTCTCAATCTAGAGGTAACCAATATCCTGAATTGGGTACCAATTATCCCCATGCATCTTTCTGTAATTTTACAATAGATATTTTCCATTAAACATATAAATTGTGATACAGAGCAAAATAACCCCCCAACATGTTCACATTCCCTTTCTTAGAAACTGTTAATGTGTTATCTTACATGAAAAAAGGAACTTAGCAGATAGATTAAGGTTAAGAATTCAACCTCTGACTTACAAACTGAAATGATTAATTTACGTTGTTTTAAGGCACTAAATTTGTAGTAGTTTGTGACGGCAGCCCAGAAGAGAAATACATATCAAATTGTTCTGTGTTTTGATGCCAAAAAAAAATGTATCCATCTTTTTGCTTTTTGAAAAACTCATTGTAATGCCTTTTGGATTAACTCACGTTGATATGTGTAGCTCTCTAGTTCATTCACTGTATCTTCTATGAGGTCTTATAAATATTACACAATTTGTTCATTATCCTCCTTATTGAGAATTAGAAGGTTTTGTTCTGTGCTTTTTAACTATTCAAATTTTTAACATGAACTTTTTTTTTTTAAATGAAGTTTCTCTCTTTTCACCCAGGCTGGAGTGCAATGGCACGATCTCAGCTCACTGCAACATCTGCCTCCAAGGTTCAAGCGATTCTCCTGCCTCAGCGTCCCAGATAGCTGGGATTACAGGCACCCACCACCACACCCAGCTAATTTTTGTATTTTAATAGAGATGCGGTTTCACCATGTTGGCCAGGCTAGTCTCAAACTTCTGACCTTAGGTGATCCACCTGCCTTGGCCTTCCAAAGTGCTGGGATTACAGGCATGAGCCACCATATGAAAAGAAATTTTCTTTGATTTTTATTCTGAAATTCTCTGGTTACTAGTAAAATTAAGCTTCTGAAACTTTTAGGTTCTCTTTTAGTGAATATCTTGTTCACTTGTTTGTTTTTCTTTTGGGTTGTTTTTCATTTTCTAATGGACTTGAAGTAATTTATAAATTCTGGGTCTAAATGCACTGCTGTTTATAGCTTCTAATTGTATGGATTTTCTTTTTATTTTGTTAATGGTATTTTTTCCTTGAAATTATGTTTTATGTTTAAAATGGCCACACTTATGAATATTTTTCAATTATGGTTTGTGTTTTTTTTCTTGTTTAAGAAATCCTTCCCTGAGATCATAAATACTCTTTTGATTTTTTAAAAATTAGTTTTACACACACAAATGTTTAATCTACCTATAAGTAATTATAGTATTGTGTTAACTATATTTTTTCAGATTAATAACCAAAGAATCTAATACCACTTACACATTTGTCTTTTTCCCAATTAATTTTAAACTACCTTTGTAACACATAAAGTTTCCATACATGTACGGATCTTTCTCTGGACCCCCATTCTATTTCACTGACTTATTTGTTTTCACTCTTGTGCAGATATCAAACAGGCCTAATTATTATAGTGGCAGAGTGTCTTGATATCTGTTGTGTGCTTCCACTTTATTATTTTTTTCAAAATCATCCCTCCACTTTTGGCTCTTTGTTGTTTCATATGAATTCTAGGAACTGGGATTTTAATTGTACTTAAAATTAATGTATTAGTTAATTTGGAGAAAAACCATATGTTTTCACATTATTGAATCTTTCCATCCATGAACATGGTATATTTTGTCATTCAGTTAGCACTTATTTTGTTAGATATTTTTCTAGATACATTATGTATCTGTTTTCTCAATGTTTATTGCAACTATACAGAAATGCTAATGATTTCTGTATGTTGAGTATTCTCCTGGCAATCTTCCTGAATTCTTATAAATTCCAAAACTTTGTGGAGTATATGAAATTTTTCTAGAAGACAATCGTATCAAATGATAATAACAAGTATTGTAATCTTTACATCACTTGTTTTTAAATGTATTACTTTGTTTTGAACCATTAATTCAATATTGAGCAGAAGGATTGCTAACAGAGATCCTTGTTATGTTCTTGAATTGAAATTAACAGATTTCCTTTTGTTGTATAGCTTTTAAATATAAGGCTTTCTTTTGTTTCTATTGTCCATGGAAAAGACATATAAGTTACAGATCCTTTAAAATGTGGTAAAAACTGCCTGTGAAACTATCTGGCCTCAGTTCCATTTGGAGGGAAGGGTGGTGGTAGGAAATACTTTTTTTTTTTTTTTGGCTAATATAATTTCCTAATGTTAATCTAAACATGGCTATGTTTTGTGAGTCCAACTGTGTGACTTTTGCTTTTCTCTAAAAATTATCCACTCCTTCCAAGCTTTCAATTGTGTGGGCATCACCTGGTTCACGGTATTTCTATATAGCTTTTTGTTTTTGTTTTTTTTTGAGATGGAGTCTCGCTCTGTCGCCCAGGCTAGAGTGCAGTGGCGCAATCTCCACTCACTGCAAGCTCTGCCTCCCGGGTTCACGCCATTCTCCTGCCTCAGCCTCCCAAGTAGCTGGGACTACAGGCACCCGCCACAGCACCCGGCTAAATTTTGTATTTTTTTTTAGTAGAGACAGGGTTTCACTGTGTTATCCAGGATGGTCTCGATCTCCTGACCTCGTGATCCACTGGCCTGGGCCTCCCAAAGTGCTGGGATTACAGGAGTGAGCCACCGCGCCCCACCTCTTTATAGTTTTTAATGTCTCTAATATATCTTTAATAAATCTGTTGCATGCTAAAACTGTAGGCATTTTCTTCTTGGGGGGCCTCTTTCTCAAAAACCTCATTGATTATTGTAAATCAAGATTTTATGTGGGTTTCTCTCCTGAGCTCTTGTTCAGTGTTGTCAATTGCATTACAAACATATTCGACCTAGGTAGGTTACATCACCTAAACCCAACATGACTAACATTAAACTTTTTGTCTCTATCACCACTTCAGAATTACCTCCTTCTGAATGAGGTCACTGAAAGTGATAAGACAGTCCCTGTAGTCATATAGACTCAATATTTTAGTTCACTTTTTAACTTCTCTGCCCAAGCTTCAGAATTACTGTGTCTCAAATATTTGTCTGTTTCTTTTCCTTCCCGCTACATAGCCCTAAAATTGCATTTTAGCTCCTGGTTTCTGAACCACTCTAGTAGCTTTCGAACTTACTGTACTGTTTCTATACGTTCCTCTTTTGTAATACATATTTCTCATCATCCACACATTAATCTTAAATGTGTGTAAAAATATAAAGACATTTTTAGGCTGGGCACAGTGGCCCATGCCTGTAGTCCTGGTCCTTTGGGAGGTCAAGGTGGGGATCACCTGAGGTCAGGAATTCGAGACCAGCCTGGCCAACATGGCAAAACCTCATTTCTACTAAAAACACAAAAACTAGCCAGGCGTGGTGGCAGGCACCTATAATCCCGCTACTCGGGAGGCTGAGGCAAGAGAATTGCTTGAACCTGGGAGGCGGAGGTTGCAGTGAGCCGAGATCACACCACTGCACTCTAGCCTGGGAGACAAGAGCAAAACTCAGTCTCTCTCTCTCTCTCTCTCCATATATATATATATAAAAATATATATATAAATATATGTAGATATATAAATATATATAGATATCTATAAATATATATAGATATATAAAAATATATATAGATGTATAAAAATATATATAGATATATATAAATATAAATATATATAGATATATAGATATATATAAATATAAATATATATAGATATATAGATATATATAAATATAAATATATATAGATTATATAGATATATATAAATATATACAGATATATAGATATATATAAATACATATAGGTATATAGATATATAAATATATATAGATATATAGATATATATAAATATATAGATATATATAAATATATAGATATATATAAATATATAAATAGATATAACTCTATATATATAAAAATATATAAAACTCAGTCTCTCTCTATATAGAGAGATATCTATATCTATATCTATATATATAGATAGAGATATATATATCTATATCTATCTATATCTATATATCTATCTATATATATCTATATCTATATATATCTATATATCTATATATATATCTATATATATATCTATATATATCTATATATATATCTATATATATATCTATATATATATCTGTATATATCTATATCTATATATATCTCTCTATATATCTCTATATATATCTCTATATATATCTATATATATCTATATCTATATATATCTATATATATATATCTATATATATCTATATCTATATATATCTATATATATATATCTATATATATCTATATATATATCTCTATATATATCTATATATATCTATATATATATATCTATATATATATCTATATATATGTCTATATATATGTCTATATATATCTATATATATCTATATATATATCGATATATATCTATATATATATCTATATATATCTATCTATCTATATCTCTATATCTATATCTCTATCTATATCTCTATATCTATATCTCTATATCTATATCTCTATCTATATCTCTATATCTATATCTCTATCTATATCTCTATCTCTATATCTCTATCTATATCTCTATATCTCTATCTATATCTCTATCTCTATATCTCTATCTATATCTCTATCTCTATATCTCTATCTATATCTCTATCTCTATATCTCTATCTATATCTCTATCTCTATATCTCTATCTATATCTCTATCTCTATATCTCTATCTATATCTCTATCTCTATATCTCTATCTATATCTCTATCTCTATATCTCTATCTATATCTCTATCTCTATATCTCTATCTATATCTCTATCTCTATATCTCTATCTATATCTCTATCTCTATATCTCTATCTATATCTCTATCTCTATATCTCTATCTATATCTCTATCTCTATATCTCTATCTATATCTCTATCTCTATATCTCTATCTATATCTCTATCTCTATATCTCTATCTATATCTCTATCTCTATATCTCTATCTATATCTCTATCTCTATATCGCTATCTATATCTCTATATCTATATCTATCTCTATATCTCTATATCTATATCTATCTCTATATCTATATCTATCTCTATATCTCTATATCTATATCTATCTCTATATCTCTATATCTATATCTATCTCTATATCTCTATATCTATATCTATCTCTATATCTCTATATCTATATCTATATCTATATCTCTATATCTATATCTCTATCTCTATATCTATATCTATATCTCTATATCTATATCTATATCTATCTCTATATCTATATCTATATCTATATCTCTATATCTATATCTATATCTATATCTCTATATCTATATCTATATCTATATCTCTATATCTATATCTATATCTATATCTATATCTCTATATCTATATCTATATCTCTATCTCTATATCTATATCTCTATATCTCTATCTCTATCTCTATCTCTATATCTCTATCTCTATCTCTATATCTCTATCTCTATCTCTATATCTCTATCTCTATCTCTATCTCTATATCTCTATCTCTATCTCTATATCTATATCTATATATCTATATCTATATCTATATATCTATATCTATATCTATATCTATATATCTATATCTATATCTATATCTATATATCTATGTATATATCTATGTATATATCTATGTATATATCTATATACATATCTATGTATATATATCTATATACATATCTATATATATATCTATATACATATCTATATATATATCTATATACATATCTATATATATATATCTATATACATATCTATATATATATATCTATATACATATCTATATATATATATCTATATACATATCTATATATATATCTATATACATATCTATATATATATATCTATATACATATCTATATATATATCTATATACATATCTATATATATCTATATACATATCTATATATATCTATATACATATCTATATATATCTATATACATATCTATATATATATATCTATATACATATCTATATATATATCTATATACATATCTATATATATATCTATATACATATCTATATATATAATCTATCTATATATATATCTATATATATATCTATATATATATCTATATCTATATCTATATCTATATATATATCTATATATATATCTATATATATATCTATATATATATATCTATATATATATCTATATATATATCTATATATATATCTATATATATCTATATATATCTATCTATATATATATATCTATATATATATCTATATATATATCTATATATCTATATATATATCTATATATATATCTATATATATAGATCTATATATATATCTATATATAGATCTATATATATATCTATATATATATCTATATATATATATCTATATATATATCTATATATATATAGAGAGAGAGAGAGAGAGATATTTTTGGGGGACTACAAGAAGGGGGAGGGAGAGAGGAGGACAAGGGTAGAGAAACTACCTATTGGGTATTATGCTCACTATCTGGGTGATGGGTTTAATTATACCCCAAATGTCAGCATCATACAATATATCCATATAAAAAAAACCCTGCACATGTACCCTCTGAATCTATATATATACACAGAGAGAGATTTTTAGAGTTATACAATAATTTATTATCTACACAGCACATGTAAGGTAGATAGAAAATGCATTACTAGTTCCACCTTTATCAAATGTAAAGCTGGAGGTTTAGATTTCTCTTACCTTACTAAGAAAACTAAACATCAAACCCAAGTTGAGTTTATTAACCTTCATGATGCAGAATCCCAATTTTCTATATGAAACTATGAGTTCTCTTATGGCAGGAGTTATGATTTCTGCTATTTTCTCAAATACTCTCAAACTCGGTGTGTCGCTGTAGAAGGTGCCCACAAATGCTGAGCCAATTTTTAATACTTTGAGAAATATAGGACTGACGTATTTTTGATTTAGGAAGCATGTTAGGTGTTTCTGTTATATTATCTCACTGGGAAGTGTACCACATTGTGAACAAATTGTTATTTTGCCTATTACTCATGAAAAATATGTGTTCCGTCAGAAAGTTAACAGAGAACTAACCTGAAAGAAACTTCAGCACCAGCAATTTTAATAAGATAAATAAAAAATAGAGATTCAATCTTATCTACTCCTACTGTGTCATTCTGAAAAGAGATGAAAGAAAAAATAATGAAAACACATTTTCTTAGTGAATTTACCCTCCCTCCAGCCCCAACACATATTTAATTGGTTCCATGATTTATGTAGTGTGTTTTACACTCTTTTTTCCACCCACTCACAATATTACAAATATTAATCATTTTTCCTTGGTCAATTATAGGAATTAAGGCTTGGTGTTGTGTTTGTTCATAGGTAATATGACATCAGATAAAACCATGCTCTACTTTTTGTTCTCCCCACCCCCAACCCCAGCTGTTCATATACCATTTTCTGCTTTCTAAGAGAAAGAATAAAATTACCTTGGTAAAGAGCTATGTTCAACAAACAAACAAAAAGAAAAGAAAAAAAAACCTATTTTGGAAAATACCTAAGAATGCGAGAAGCTCCCAGAGATTGAAAATGTTTTTCACACATGGACAGATTATCAGAGGATAATCTTACATATTGAAGTTGCTGAAATAAAGAAGGCAGTAGCTGAGAACCTACCAACATAAGCTAAGGAGCCCATTGTTTCTGCTATTGACAGCACTACCTGTGTGTCATGTTGCAGTCTCGAGGTCAAAGATACTGAAGGAAACTGAGCTTCTCTGAATTCAAACACTTCCTCCACTCTTGTTTTAAATGTGATCCAGAAGGATGGCTCTGGAGTAGGGTTACTCGATGGAAACTCCTAAACTAACTCAAGAAGGAGGACAAATTACATAAAATTAATAGATCAACGAAACTGCACAGAAAGCAGGAGTGTGCTATTCAGAGGAACTGCCTATGTTCTTTCTTCCTCGATTAATGAAAATATTTCTATGATTTTCCTCAGTTTCTCAGCTGGTATGTAAATTGTATATTTTTCTTCAGTAGGATCAGAACCACCGGGGAATTTGGAATCATCCCAGAAATAAGTACGCAAACCAACCTCTTACATGTTAGCAGGCCAGTGGTCTTCAGGGAATCATCTATCTAATGCCCTGTTTCAGTCAGAACAAGGCAGATTATTCTTCAATCATCAAGAACAGCTCCAACACTCAGTGGATGAAAATATATTTTTTACTCATCCTACATATTGCATAAGAAAATGACTGTCAGGAGGATTTACACATTACAGTCAAACAGAAATGTAGGTTAAAGAATGCTCCATCTCAACTTGTGCTTCTAAGATTACCCAGACAGGGGGAGGAACTACGGAACATGTTTGCTCATGGCAGCACTATTCCCAATAGCAAAGACATGAAAACAGCCTAGGTGTCCATCAATGGCAGATTGCATAATGAAAATGTGGTACCTATACACCATGGAATACTACACAGCCATAAAAAAGAACAAAACCATGTCCTTTCCAGCAACATGGATGCCGCTGGATGCCATGATCCTAAGTGAATTAATACAGAAACAGAAAACCAAATACTGAATATTCTTACTTATAAGTGGGGGCTAAGCCCTGGGTACACATGGACATAAAGTTAGGAACAGTAGACATTGGGGACTACAAGAAGGGGGAGGGAGAGAGGAGGACAAGGGTAGAAAAGCTACCTATTGGGTATTATGCTCACTATTTGGGTGATGGGTTTAATTATACCCCAAACGTCAGCATCATACAATATATCCATTTAAAAATCCTGCACATGTACCCTCTGAATCTAAAATAAAAGTTGAAATTTAAAAAAAAAAGAATTCAGCAGAAGTGTAACATAACATTCACTCCCATTTCATGGCCTAAATTCAAGAGGGGCAAGGCTGTGCAATCCGATCAAATGCTGAGAAAGAAAAAAAAAAGCTGTAATAAATGTGAGCAGATTTAATGGCCTCATTCCACTTCATGAAAATTGTCTAAATCATGTCCTTCACTATTGTCCTCATCCCAAAATATAAATAATTACTGTACATGGAAATCGTTTTAGACTGAACAGACAGAAAAGAAGATGGGTACAAATATCACATACCACAGAAGTATCTCCTAAAGCAATTCAAGAAATAGAAGCCTGGATGATATCCAATTATACTGTATTTAGTCTTTTGCTTGGACTTTTCTTCTTCCTTCCTTTTCAATCAATCAACAAACCTCTTCCTGGTCTATGCTCGTGATGTTTTTTTTCTCATATTTTTAAAATATTTCACTTTCAGCCTCCTGATGTTACACTGTGCATTCTTTGGAACAACATCTTATATTCAGTAAATTCCCCTGTGATATTTTCAAAGCTTTAAAGGCCTTAATGACATTAATTCATTAACTTTTTATACTCAAAACCATTCCTGAACTCATCAGTTTTGAGCCCTGAGTATGTTAGGGCAAAGAAAATAAGGACTTAATTTCTGCCTTTGTAGAATTACAACTTCCCCAGAGAAATAATTCATAAACAATGAACAAACACAAGAAAAAAAAATAATGAGAAAAGTCCAACATAATATTGTTTCAAGTTCCTGTCACTAATATTAACTACTGGCATATCTTAAACCCCTACTGATGGATCATATATGAACAGAAACAGTGCTTTAAGAATGACAAGTTGAAATTTTCTGAAACTCGTTGCCTACAATCAGCTAACAAAGACTGTAAAAGAGTTTACTTAACGTCAGAAAACACAGAATGCAGCAAAGCCTATAGAGATAGGAAAATAATCACTATGTTCACAGGCAGAGAAATTATGGCTCTTTCAATATCTAGATGGCAACAAAAATGTGTTGAGCTTTTGATATTTACCTAATTATTTCAGATAATTATTGAAACTGTGTAATCAAGCTAAACACACTTATCAGAATTGCCCTGGCCTGTCCTTTTGTGTACATACTGAAACCCTTGGGCTTTCTTTTCTACTCTTTATATACCTACAAGGTGTTACCTTCAGTTTCTTAATTGAATCATGGTTCAAAGTGTGTGTGGGGGTGGTGTGTGTGTGGTGTGTGTGAATGTTCATGTGTGTGTGTGTAATTTTTTGAAATTCTTCTTCCACCCTCAGGAGTCCCCTGCAGTGAACTGGCTGCCTTGCCTTTTATTATTCCTTTACTAAATGCTCAGAGGACCATATGGATTTGGCTGCTTCCATACAAACATGGAAAAAATACTTCCGTGCAAAAAATATTTCTTTTTATTCTGATGTGGGCATGAGAGGACAGCCAGGTAGTTGAGAGAATTGTCTAATATATCCTCCTGGCATTTGTCAGCGGATACAAAAACCCTGATAACTTATGTTAGCTTATCACATAGTCACCATTGCATCTACATTTGAGAAATCAGTTCAATTCTTCAGAGCGTGCTTGCATGGAAAGAGAAGTCAGAAATTATGAGGCTCAGACTGAAGAATTAGAAACAGAGGTAGACAGAAAATATAGACTGTATAAGGCCACTCAGCAAAGCCCTCTGGTTTTAAGGGTCACTCCATTACCCTGATTATTTACTAAGTATATAACAGAGACCATTGAATTATAGTAGATTAGAGGTTTATGGTTTCTATAGTTTAGTGTGCCACTACCATCTCTTAGAATAGTGAATAAAATTGGCACTACATTGCAAGGAAACTTGAATCGACATGCTTTCATTGAGATTCAAAGTGAAATCCAGAATATATTATATTAGTGGATGTATCTTTTTGTTCTTTTAAAATTGGTGAGATCCCTTTTCTTTAGAAGTAAGAAAAAATGTATTGTTACTTCTTAGACACGTTTCTGTTCTTTTTCTTTCTAGGTTATTCTGTTCCATTCTAAATAGGTAACATTTCCATGACCATTATTCTCAAAAGTACATTTAATAATGTTCAAAATGTTTATGGCAGCATAGATAAGCATGAGGTAACAAGCCAGGTGGCAAGAAACATTGCCCTCTCGTTGTTTATAACCTAAGTGTAGTCTGACACCAAGTCCCACGTACAAAAAAGACTGGGAAGAGTAAAGTCTAGTGCTTACATTGTGCTGGAAGTCTCTTGAGATTATCAACTTTACCTATTTGTTCCCATGCAGACATAACCATCCCTGGAGACTGCCTTTTCACCTAACTTTCAAAATGCTTTAATTATTAAAGACATGGCAGCTTGCACACAGGTCATTTCCTCATCATCTTCTGGAACTTTAAAAATCTCTCTTCTAAAAATAGAAGCAGAGGTGAAGAGAAAAGGTTTAGTGTTTCTATGACTTATCCATAATTGAATTCTCTTTTATAAAAAATAAATAGGACAACAAAAAGTAAGTCTTTACTACTACTTTCTTCATATACTTATTTGTTCACACATGATCTAAGAAGCCTTTTATAATCATTGTACCGACACTGGCTTTTTGACGACAGAAGATCAAAGCTTCCCCAGTTTGGGAGCAACTTTTCTGCATAAATAAGTGCAGCATCAGTGTATTTTGAGGCTATGTAAAGAACCTTAAGTTAACCAGTAAAACTGAGTTATTTTTAAGGAAGCTGATGTCAAGGACTGGACCCAGAGACTCAGGATATTACAATAGACACCCCGGCTCCCCAGCAAAAACCCTGCAAGAGACTTTGTGATATTTATGTTTAAAGACTGCACCAGCAGGACAACCTTTATGAGGCTTTTGCAAGTGAAGTACACCAATCATGAGTAGAAGGCTCAGCTCAGTCTAACAACGTCTTATCTTTCTCTTCGTCATTTATAGGATCCCTGTTGGCCTCTGAGTATTGTCTGTGGACTGGAAATGTATGACATAAATCTTTGCTAGTCTTTTTAAAAGAGACTTTGATTGTCTCAAGGGAGAGTATCATTGGGTCAGTTCCATCCAGGAACCTCAAGTCATTATAGCATAAAGAATATAGGTCATATTTATCGTCAGAGTCTGGATAAACCTTTTCTAAGTATGATATGAGTCTTCTTCACTGAGATACAAACATTTCTTTCCTAATCACTAATTTTATGTTTAGTTTTGTTCTTAGAGGAAAGTAATATTTAGTGGGATGGAAGGTAATATCTTTGTGGCTCTTTCTTTTCTCTTCCTTTTCATTGTCACACATGTCTTCCATTGTCCCCTGTCTCTGCAGCATGTTCATAAAATTTATATCAGATCATCTTACAATGTTACTTTCTAGGCTTTTTAGTATGTATTATTTTTCCCACAAAAGAGTGTATTTCCTGAATATCTGATTCCTGTTTATAATCTACTCATCTATTGTTTTCCAAAATGCCTGCCAACAATAAATGCATCATAAATGGTTGTTGGCTAAATGTATGAATAAATACAGTTGCTTTTTTAAAATATGTCATTCACATCTTTCTTTAAAAAAATCAGGAGACCTTAAACCTCCCCCTTTAACTCTCTATTGTTTCCTGAACTGAATGCTGTCTTTCACATCCTATCCCTAACACTGTCTACAATCATTTCCCTATAATTCCATGATGTCCCTGTGTTCCTGCTAACCTGAACTTCTTTTTATTCCTCAAAGAAAATGTAATCTTCTATAACTTTGAAAGTTCTTCCTGTCTTTTCCATTTGTGAATGTAAATTTAACCTTCAAAATACAGATCAAATGTTACCTTCTTGTGAATACTTATTTGGTTCTCCAGAGTGACTCTTCGTGAGTACTTAAGTGACGCTTTGTAACTATCTCCACTGTATCAATCACACTGGAAATGCAATAGTGGGATTATTTACTTATTTGGCATCCCACAAAAAACACACAAACACCACACATACCGCATACAAACCTGAGCATAGATATTATATCTTATTTCTTGTATCTAACTAAGCACCCAACATAGTACTTGAAAGATAATTAGGTATTAAATGTGTATTTGTTAAATGAAAGAATAATTAAAATGATGAACGAGTGAATGAATAGAATAGGAATTTAGGGGCTGGCAAAAAATTGACCTGTTTTAACCACTTCTAGCTTTTGATCTTCAGAAAGTGTCTTCCCTTTCTGGAGCTTCCATTTTTTCATCTCTAAAATAGGATAGTACGTCCATAATAGAGCTGTGATAAAGGGTATAAAAGATAATTCATGGAAATACTTGGCAGTGTCTGGACGAAGAGTAAGAAGTAAAAGAAGAGGAAGAAGAAAGAGGAGGAGATATAGGAGAAAAAGAACAAGGAGAAGGAGGAAAAGGAGATGCACTAATGATAAACGCATTTAACCAAAAGTGAATGGAGAAGCAAGAATAATGTAGCCAAAAACCCAACTAATTAAAGGGTAATTCTTGTCTGGAGCTCCCATTAGATTGTAAAGGAAAAAAAGAAGAAATAGTGATGATGATATGGTTTGGCTGTGTCCCCACCCAAATCTCATCTTGAATTGTACTTCCATAATTCCCACATATTGTGGGAGGGACCCGGTAGGAGATAATTTGAATCCCGGCAGGAGTTTCTCCCATACTGTTCTCCCTTGGTAGCAAATAAATCTCATGAGATCTGATGGTTTTATCAGAGGTTTCCACTTTTGCATCTCTCTCATTCTCTCTTTGCCTGCTGCCATCTATGTAAGATGGGACTTGCTCCTTCTTATTTTCTGCCATGATTGTGAGGCTTCCCCAGCCATGTGGAACTGTAAGTCCAATTAAACCTCTTTTGTAAATTGCCTGGTCTCAGGTATGTTTTTATTAGTAGTGTGAAAACAGACTAATACAGTAAATTGGTACCAGGAGTGGGATGTTACTGAAAAGATACCCAAAGATGTGGAAGTGACTTTGGAACTGGGTAACAGGCAGAGGTTGGAACAGTTTGGAGGGCTCAGACAAAGACAGGAAAATGTTGGAAAGTTTGGAATTTCCTAGAGACTTGTTGAATGGCTTTAACCAAAGCCTAAGGAGATATGGACAATAAGGTCCAGGCTGAGGTGGTCTCAAATGGAGATGAGGAACTTGTTGGGAATTGACGTAAAGGTGACTCTTGTTATGTTTTAGCAGAGACTGGCAGCATTTTGCCCCTGCTCTAGAGATTTGTGGAACTTTGAACTTGAGAGAGATGATTTAGGGTACCTGGTAGAAGAAATTTCTAAGCAGCAAGGCAGTCAAGAGGTAACTTGGGTGCTGTTAAAAGCAATCAATTTTAAAAGAGAAACAATATAAAAGTTTGGAAAATTTGCAGCCTGACAATGTGATAGAAAAGAAAAACTCATTTTCTGAGGAGAAATTCAAGCCAGCTGCAGAAATCTGCATAAGTAACGAGGGGCCAAATGTTAATCCCCAAGACAATGGGGAAAATGTCTCCAGGGCATGTCAAAGGGCTTCACGGCTCCCATCACAGGCCCAGAGGCCTAGGAGTAAATGGTTTCGTGAGTGGGCCCACGGTCCCCATGCTATGTGTAGCCTAGGGATTTGGTGCCCCACATCCTAGCTGCTCCAGCTGTGGCTGGAAAAGGCCAGTGTACAACTCGGACTGTAGCTTCAGAGGGTGCAAGCCCCAAACCTTGACAGCTTCCACATGGTGTTGAGCCTGTGAGTGCACAGAAGTCAAGAATTGGGGTTTGGCACCGCATATTCTCACTTATAGGTGGGAATTGAACAATGAGAAGACATGGACACAGGAAGGGGAACATCACACTCTGGGGACTGTTGCGGGGTTGGGGGAGGGGGGAGGGATAGCATTGGGAGATATACCTAATGCTAGATGACGAGTTAGTGGGTGCAGTGCACCAGCATGGCACACGTATACATATGTAACTAACCTGCACATTGTGCACATGTACCCTAAAACTTAAAGTATAATAATAATTTTAAAAAAAAGAAAATATGTGAAAAAAAAAAAAAGAATTGGGGTTTGGGAACCTCTTCCTAGACTTCAGAAGATGTATGGAAACATCTGGATGCCCAGACAGAAGTTTGCTGCAGGGGCAGGGTGCTCATGGAGAACCTGTGCTAGGGCAGTGCAGAAGGGAAATGTGGGTTGGAGTCCCCACACAGACTCCCTACTGGGACACTGCCTAGTGGAGCTGAGAAGAGGGCCACCGTCCTCCAGACCCCAAAATGGTAGATCCACTGGCAGCTTGCATTGTTTGCCTGGAAAAGCCACAGACACTCAATGCCAGCCCATGAAAGCAGCTGAAAGGGAGGCTGTACCCTGCAAAGCCACAAGAACAGAGCTGCCCAAGACCATGGAAACCCGCCTTTTCCATCAGCATGACCTGGATGTGAGACCTGGAGTCAAAGGAGATCATTTTGGAGTTTTAAAATTTGACTTCCCCGCTGGATTTTGGACTTGCATGGGCCCTGTAACCCCTTTGTTTTGGACAATTTCTCCCATTTGGAATGGCTGTATTTACTCAATGCCTGTACCCCCATTGTATCTAGGAGGTAACTAGCTTTCTTTTGATTTTACAGGCTCATAGGCAGAAGGAACTTGCCTTGACTCAGATGAGACTTTGGACTGTGGACTTTTGGGTTAGTGCTGAAATGAGTTAAGACTTTAGGGGAATGTTGGGAAGGCATGATTGGTTTTGAAATGTGAGGACATAAGATTTTCGGGGGCCAGGGGTGAAACAATGCGATTTGGCTGTGTCCCTACCCAAATCTCATCTTGAATTCTACTCTCATAATTCCCACATGTTGTGGGAGGGACCTGTTGGGAGATAATTTGAATCATGGGGGCTGCTTCCCCCATACCGTTCTCGTGGTAGTGAATAAGTCTCATGAGATCTGATGGCTTTATCAGGGGTTCCCACTTTTGCATCTCTCTCATTCTTTCTTTGCCTGCTGCCATCCATGTAAGACAGGATTGTCTCCTCCTTACCTTCCACCATGATTGTGAGGCTTCCCCAGCCACGTGGAACTGTGAGTTCAATTAAACCTCTTTCTTTTGTATATTTCCCAGTCTCAGATATGTCTTTATCAGCAGGCTAATACAGATGACAAAAGAAGTTGTCATATATCTGCTAAGTTCAGTTATCCATTCTAAATCTTTTAAACTATTGCAGATATTCAAAAGAATGGACAGGAATTTAAAAAGAAAAGTAGTTATAATATGAAGTGATAAATGTGTAAGAGTTTGTCTCCTTAAAAATGTTTTAATAAAAATAAAAACGTCATTTAAAAATATTACTTTGATGGTGTTCTTCATTGGGCAGATGCCTACTGTGGGGACAAAGTATCAAAGCAATAGTCCCAAGACATTGTTAAGAATAGGAGGAGCTTAAAAAAGTTTGACAGGGAATTATATATTTTTTTTTAATTGCCATAGTACATTGTCACAATCATTAGAGGCATGTTTCAAAGGGGAATGAAGGAATGGGGCTTTCCAGAGAGTCAAATTTCATTAACCAAAACGATTTCTGCATCCATTGTTACAGCAACATCAAAGCCATTGAAAATGAATAAGGTCTCACGAAGAAATTTTTAAATGGATTAATTAGGGGATTTTAGTGTAAGAGTAGGAGTGTGGTTCAGGGCTCATTCCCCAGGGAGGGGTGGAGAGGAAAGAGAGAAGAATTCTTCAAACTTTTGAACAGTCTTTATCTCCAAATAAGTGACATTTAGTCAACTGTGGGCTAGGAGTCTCCAGAAGCAGCCGGAGCTAACTTCTTACATCTCAAGTCACCCTTTGCTACTAACCAGGAAAGTCTGCGGCAGGGTAGAGAGGCGGATATCAGTTTAAATCCTTTACAAAAAGCCACTCCTGGCCATTACTGCAGGGAAAAGTCCCGCAGAGCTGAGCAGTCATGATGTGTGACTTCACCGAGGACCAGACCACAGAGTTCAAGGAGGCCTTCCAGCTGTTTGACCGAACAGGTGATGGCAAGATCCTGTACAACCAATGTGGGGATGTGATGAGGCCCCTAGGTCAGAATCCCACTAACACTGAGGTGGTCAAGGTTCTGAGGAACCCCAAGAGTAATGAGATGAATGTGAAGTTGCTGGACTTTGAGCACTTTCTGCCCATGCTGCAGATGGTGGCCAAGAACAAGGACCAAGGCACCTATGAAGATTACGTAGAAGGACTTCAGGTGTTTGACAAGGAAGGAAATGGCACCATCATGGGTGTTGAATTCTGGCACGTTCTTGTCACACTGGGTGAGAAGATAACAGAGGAAGAAGTAGAGGTGTTGGTGGCAGGGAACGAGGGCAGCAATGGTTGTATCGACTATGAAGCATTTGTGAGGCATATCCTGTCGGGATGACTGGCCCATGGGGCAGAGCTCGTCCTTACGGTGCTGAATGGCTGAGGACCTTCCCAGTCTCCCAGAGCCATGTTGTCTTCCCCTGGTGAGATTTTCTATCTATCCTGAAGGCTCCCTAGGCTCTCTTATCACAGCGCCTTTCCCATATATTCTCTCTTGGATGATATTTGCCGTCAGCATTCATCAAATAAACTTGCTGTCTGTGCCTCCACCCAAAGGAAGCCACTCCTATACTCATACCTGCCATCACCACGTAGAACATCCTTGTTGCTTAGAAGCATCTAAATAGGACACTGTCTATACACACTCATGCACACATACACGAGAGAATAGAAATTTATCCCGTGTCCTCTCTACTTCCTCAAATCTGTGCTGAACAAACACTGGCAGTGCCAAAGATTCTAGAACTTAAATACTATTAAGTCATTTTGATATCATCAGAGTCAAAAGTGAAAAAAATATTGAGAGACAAGTGGCTTTAAGGATGCTTTGATGGCCCCTAAGTCATCTGTTTATTTCAAGTGTTGCCAATGGTAAAAAGAAACTTCTTCAGTTGAAATTAGGTTTGGTTTCCAAAGTATTCTTTCAAATAAAAAGAATCAAATTATCAACCTAATTTAAAAAGCTACTATATACACATGTGTACATGCATTCTACTTATGTATGTGTTCATGTGTGTTCACTTGCATACTACATACACACGCAACAGACCTACAGCAACTTTCATCATCTTTCACCCCACTATGCTCGACAACATGATTTACACATAGTAGGCCTTCAGCCATTTTTGAAATGAAGTTATGGATGTTGTAATCAAAGTGCATACATATGACCACATACATATAGTTACTGACATCACCATAAAAGTGATTGATACTCCCTCAGAGAGCTTTCAGTTTCCAAAGTATATGCCAAAATGAATGTGCTCTGAGAATACGCTGGAACTGAGGGTCAGAAAATGTCCAGTTTCCATCTCCTGTCACAGCCCCAAACACTATTATTATTTGCAGAGGGCCAGTGATTTGCTTGGCACTGCACACACCTCACAGGAGAAAGCTCTATCTCTGCCCAGTGGGGTTTTAAGAACAGGGCTTGTAGGACATAAAAGACAAGTAAGAACTGGCAAGAGAGAGGAGCAATCTAAGCCTGTGGCTTAAAATGCCATTAAAATAATCATTAAAACCAGGTGCCTAACGCACCCCACAGTCTAGGCCAAAAACATAGGAAAATATAAGATTTTTCACCCTTTAACCACAGGTTCTTTGTGTAATTGGTAAGCATCAAGAAAGGGAGTGACAAATTCCTCCATAGGTATTCAGGGAGACAGTTGTATTGTTGTGAGTGTTGTCATTATACATTATGTGCCCACAGTCTCATAGTTTATGCTGGGATACATACAAGAGCATGATGCATGGTGTGGACAGTTTTAGCAGCCAAAGAGGTATTCTCCAGGCTGCCTAGGATATAGCTTGTAAAGACTAACAACACCTTATCTAAGAAAAGTGAAGCCCCAAGTTGACAACTCTTGTTGTGCCATTTAAGGACCACAGATGATTTTTTTTTTTTTTTTTTTTTTTTTTTTTTTTTTTGGACAGAGTCTAGCTCTGTCACCCAGGCTGGAGAGTGAAGTGGCATGATCTGGGCTCACTGTAACCTCCACCTCCCGGGTTCAAGCGGGCACCTCCCTGCCTTAGCTTCCTGAGTAGCTGGGATTGCACGTGCCTGCCACCATGCCCGACTAATTTTTGTATTTTTAGTAGAGGCAGAGTTTTGTTATGTTGCTCAGGCTGGTCTTGAACTCCTGACTTCTGGTGATCCTCCCGCCTCAGCATCCCAAAGTGCTGGGATTACAGGCCTGAGCCAATGGATGACTTTTGATCATCCAAAGAAAGGCATCCTTCAATTGCCAATTTCATGTCTTAGTGAGTGCAGGATGCTATCACAGAACACCATAGCCTGGGTGTCTTATAAGCAACAGAAATTTATTTCTCACAGTTCTGGAGCCTGAAAGTCTGAGATCAAGGTGCCAGCATGGTCAGCTTCTGCTGAGTGTCCTCTTCCAAGTTGCAGATGGCCATCTTCTCATTGTATCATCACATAGAGGAAAGAGGACAAGAGGGATCTTTGGAGTATCTCTTATTGGGGCACTAATTCCATTCATGAAGGCTCCACCCCTACAACCTAATTACCTCCCAAAGACCCTACCTCCTAATACCATCACAGTGAGGGGTAGGATTTCAACATGTGAGTTTTATGGGATGAAAACATTCAGTTCATAACATTCCTCAAATAGGAAAAGCATGTCAAGAATCCTCTGAAGAGATGCCAGCCTGTGTGGTAGGCCAAAAAAAATTAAAAAAAGCTCCCCAAATATATTCATGTCCTAATCCCCAGAACCTGTGAATATATTACTTTACATATCAAAGGAAGTATTTGCAACTGGGCACAATGACTCATGCCTATAATCCCAGCACTTTGGGAGACAGAGATAGGCAGATCACCTGAGGCCAGGAGTTCGAGACCACCTTGACCAACATGGTGAAACCCCATCTCTACTAAAAATACAAAAATTAGCCAGGTGTGGGGGCACACACCTGTAATCCCAGCTACTTGGGAGGCTGAGGCAGGTGAATCACTTGAACCCGGGAGGCAGAGGTTGCAGTGAACTGAGATTGTGCCACTGCACTCCAGCATGGGCTACAGGGTGAGACTTTGTCTCAAAGAAAAAAAAAGTCTTTGCAGATGTGAAGTCAGGGACCTTGATATGGAGAGATTATCCTTGATCACAAGGGTCCTTATAAAGGAAAGGCAGGAGGGTGAGAGTCAAAGCAGGAGATGTGAGGATGTAAGTAGAGGTCAAAGTGATGTAAGAAAACATGCTGCAAGCCAAGGAATGCAGGGGGCTTCTGGAAATTGGAAAAGACAAAGAATTAAAATCTCCCCTGGAACCTCCAGAAGAAATACAGTCCTGCTGACACCTTGATTTTAGGACGTATGACTTCCAGAAATCTAACATAATAGACTTGAGTTGTTTTTAAGTCATTAAGGTTGTGATAATTTGTTATGGCAACAGTAGAAAACTAATACCTAGTGAAATTTTAAAAAATCATTCTCTCAAAATGGTCTTAACAATAGACACATCTAGGATCCTGCCACATATTCTAACCCTTTCAGAAAGTATCTGGTAAGTCCAACTGTGGTGGCTCATGCATGTAATCTCAGCACTTTGGGAGGCCAAGATGGGAGGATCACTTGAGCTCAGAAGTTTGAGACCAGCCTGGGCAACATGGGGAAACTCTGTCTCTACAAAAATACAAAAATTAGCTGAGCCTGGTGGTTCATGCTTGTAGCCCCTTCTACTCAGGAGGCTGAGCTGGGAGGACCACTTGAGCCCAGGAGGTTGAGGCTGCTGTGAGCCATGATAGAGCCACTGTACTCCAGTCTGGGTAACAGAGTGAGACCCTGTCTCAAACAAAGAAAAAGAAAAAAAAAAAGAAAGTATCTGGAGATACTTTTGAAGCAAATAGGTCTTGTATATTCCCCCAAAGACAGAGCCTACAGGTATAAGATATGTTAACAGTATCTCTGTTTAAAATACCACCTATGGAACTTCTGAAAAAGTAGCATTTTTTTTCCCCAAAGAGCTCTGTACTAGTTCAGAACTCCCAGGCAATGTATCACATATGGCTCAAAAACTAATCCTTAAGGTCATCCTGAATAATTCTTCCCACTTCTGCTTGTGATTATTAATCACACCGATCCGTGAGTACTGTTAGAGTAAGTGCTTCTGCCTTTTTCCCTACGACTTTAACAGACAAGGTCTACATGTATAAAATCAAGATCGTTTTCCTGACCTTGGATAGCTCTAAGTATGCCTAGAGTTTAAGTTTCTGTACTGTTACAGGTTTGCTTCTGATACCTTCTTCCCAGACTACTGAATAACAAGTTGGCTTTGTTTTTTTTGTTTGTTTGTTTGTTTTTTGGTTCGGTTTTGCTTCTACAGTTAGCATCCTAGGTTCTGACCCCCAAGTTGCCATGCAGATAAAAGCTGGCCTGGCTACTAAAATCTCCTCCTACATTCCAGGAATTGTTCTTCAGTTCCATGCACCAATGCTAAGGTAGGCAAAATAATTTCCATGCCAACTTGGGCTCCACCCTGCTACCTAGGAAACAAAGCAGAACCAACTTTAGCTTTCCATGTCTTACAGAGATTTTAACAATCCTGCTTTTGTTGTTATTGTCTCACTCTCTGTTCTGCAGATATTTAAGATCAGTCCCAGAGGGATAAGGGATACCTAGAGATCAATGTCAACGGCATGGAGACTGATCGACTCTGCCGTATTCAAAACTCTCCTGATGGAGAAAATGGGACTAGATTTAATTCCTTGTTATGAACTGAATGTTTGTTCCCCCAACCTCCACCCCTCACAAATTTACATGTTGAAATCCTAACCTCCAATGTGATAGTATTAGAAGGTAGAGCCTAGGAGAGGTAACTCAGTAATTAGGTTGGAGCCCTCATGAAAGGGAATAGTGCCCTTATAAAAAGAGAGCCCGTAGAAGTTTCTTACCTTTTTTCCACCACATGTTGACACAATGAGAAGGCAAGGGTTTGCAATCGAGAAGAGGGCCTTCACTACGTTGGCACCCTGATCTCAGCCTTTCAGCCCCCAGAAATGTGATGAATAAATTTCTGTTGTTTATAAGACACCCAGGCTATGGTAGTTTGTTATAGCAGCCTGAACTAAGATATCTTCTGCCTTCAACAGCTAGAAAACTGAATACAATACACAAGGAAACAGTTTTTAGACATTGAAAAACTGGTAGCACAGTACTGTGATTCCTGAGAGAGGGGACACAAAAGAGGTGAGTCTCATACTTTCTTCCAGAACTGACTGGAAGTGGTTTATATACCATAGCAGTATATACCTATCACTAGGACCATCCCAAACATAGCATGGTGGTTTCACTGAGTTAGGTAAAGATTGATGTTCAGCCAGACTCAGGTGGCTTTAATTTTCAGCGTAGAGTACCAAAAAAGAAGGAGGTTGCTATGAATGGAATTGTGTCCCCTCAAAATTCATATGTTGAAGCCTTAACCCCAATTTAATGTTGGAGGTGGAGCATTTGGGAGGTAACCAGAGTTAGAAGAGGTCATGAAGGTGGGTCTCCATGTTGGGACTGATGTCCTTATAAGAAGGGGAAAACAGAGCTCTCTCTCTTTCTCTATCATGTAGAGACACAGCAAGAAGGCCACAACTCAAGGACAGAACCCTGACCAGACACCAACTCTGCCAGCACCTTGACCTTGGACTTCCCAACCTTCAGAGCTGTGAGAAATTTCTGTTGTTTGAGCCACCTAGTTTATGGTATTTTGTTATATAGCCCAAGTTGACTAAGACAAAGGTGTGTAGAGCAAGAACTCTCAGAAATCATAATGTGGTCCTTTTGAATCTGTTATTAATATAAAATTGCACATGCATGTATGCTATGAAACTATGTAAGGCAGTGTACCAGGGAAATAAAAGTTACATAAAGCAGAATGCCAGGGAAATATATGCTAAACAATTAGCAGAGTTCACACAGGGCTGGAAAATGCCCTAGTTACTATTCACCAAAATGCAGAGTCCTCATGGAATACCTGGACATTAGATGGTGATCCCAGGAAAGTCACACCTTAGTAGTGACTCAGACTTTGCCTTAGAGTAAAGAGTACTCTAAACCCATCATGACAAAGCTTAAAAACAAGCTTCAAATGGAACAGGCTCGACTAACTACTCAACATTAACATCCTTTAAAGACATACAACAAACATCAGGGCAAAAGCAAACAAACAAACAAAAAACAGTCATAATGACCAGGAAGATAATGTTGTCCATAATCAAGACAAAAATCAGTTAATAGAAAATGACTCATATAGAGAAGATGAAAAAATGGCATTAGCAGGACTTTGAACAGCTATTAAGGAAACGATAATTACATTCCAAAACTTAAGAGAAAATTAAGCAGCACCTTTTCGAATAACATATGAATAAAATAATAAATCAAAACCAAAGTTATAAAATATGCTTCACTGAGAAGAAATTTTAAAATACACATCAAAATTTGTGGAATAGAGCTAAAAGGGCTTAGAGAACAATTCATAGCATTAAAATTTTATATTAGAAAAGATCTAAAATCAATGATCTAACCCTCCACTATGAAAAATAACCTAGATTAAAGAGAACACATTAAATGTCACATACATAGAAATGAAAAAATACTAATGAAAAATGTGCAAGTCAATGAAATAGAAAATGAACAAATAATAGAAAAAATAAATAAAACCAAAATTTTATTCTTGTTACAGAGCAGTAAACTGGTAGACTTAAAGCTCTAGAGAGAAAGAGGAGAAGGGAAAAGGAGAAAAAAAGGGTGGGAGATGGGGAGAAAGAGAGACAGACAGAGAGTAACAGAGAGAATAAACAAATTATCAAATTACCAACATCAGGAATAAAAGTGGGGACATCACTAGAGATGCCACAGAGACTAAAATAATAAGGGAATATTTCAAACAACTTCATAATAAATTTGACCACTTAGATAAAACTAAAAAATACCTTGAAAATCATAAATTAAGAAAACTGACTGATGAAGAGATAGAAAATTTGAATGATTAATGCCAATGAAAGATACTGAATTTGTAAGTAAAAATCTTCTTAGAAAGAAAATTCCAGTCCCAGATGGCTTTATTGGTTTTGGCCAATAGTATTTTCCAAATATAGTTGCATTAATATCTTTTATCACACATGCTCTTTTGAAGCCTTGTCACACTCCATAAAGAAACGTAATATGATTCTTTTTTTTTTGTATCTGAGTGATTGTAGGACTTGCTTTTAATTAATAGAATGTAGTAGAATTACACTGCTTAACTTCCAACTCTAGTTATAAAAGGTGATTCCAATATATAACAATGAGAAGATATGGGAAAGCTACCCATATATCTTTTGGTTGAGAGCCAGCATCAACCACCAGACATGTGAGTTGAGTCTGGTCCTCAGATATCAAGTGACTTTAGCCTTTGAATCTAGCGACCTGAGGCACACAAAGTAGAAGAGCAAAGATAAGCCATCTCTGCTGTGGTCTGTCTGAATGCCTGACTCAGACTCTATGTGCACTAAAAAAAGGTTGTTTGAAACTCATCAATTTTAAAGTGGTTGGTTATGCAGCAATAGAACTGAAACACAATTCTGTAAAATATTTAAGGAATATTTAGATTTATTACAGAAAAGTAAGTTTGCTGTAACATTCAAAAGATCAAATTCATCATATTTACAGAATAAAAAAGAAACACCATACGATCATCAAAAATGCAGGAAATTAAGTTGACAAAGTTTGATAGCTATTCATTATTTATGTTTTCAGAAATTAGGAATAGAAGGAATTTTCCCTAGTCACGTAGGGGTTTTGATGAAAAAACAAGCTAACATAATACTAACATTACATTTAACAGTAAAAGAAGTGATGATTTCCTTCTGAGACTAGGAACAAGACAATAGTATCTACTGTTTTCATTTCTATTCAACATTGTGCTACAGATCCTTGTCAATTCAATAACAAAATAATAATAAGTAAAAGGCATACATATTGGAACAAAAAAAGTTAGACTTCCTTATTTGCAAGATGATATGATTACCTATCTAAAAATTCCAAACAACCTACAAAATAACAAAAAAGGCACTAAGTAAGTTTGTCAAATGTATGCAAATATAAATTGTTTTTTATATGCCACCAATGAAGCATTAGAAATTAAAATTTTAAAAATACTATTACAATTGCAATTAAATGTTTAAGTATAAATTTAACAACACGTGAGCATGAGCTGTACACTAAAAACTGCAGAACATTGCATAAACTACAAAACAATGCTGATGCCTAAATAAAATGGAGAGTTATAACATGTTCATGGATTAAAAGACTCAATATTGTTAAGATTTCTATAATTTTACTTATAAAATTAATGCAATCCCAACCAAGTTAACAGCCTATATTTTAAATATAACCAAGTCTACATTTTTTTAAAAATTGACAAGCTAAGTTGAAAATATATATGGATATGCAAATAACCTACAATAGCAGGGAAAAAAAATTACAAAGAGAATAATATCTGATTTTATTACTTATTCTTAAGTGTGCTGTTATCATAAAAATAGAAATATATATTAGTGGAACAGAATGGCAAGTGTATTAGTCAGTTCTCACACTGCTATAAAGACATATCTGAGACTGGGTAATTTATAAAGGAAAGAGGTGAATTGACTCACAGTTCCACATGGCAGGGGAGGCCTCAGAGAACTTACAATCATGGTGGAAAGGGAGGAGGCACATTTTACATGGCGGCAGGCAAAAGAGAGCAAATGAATGAAGGGGGAAGAGCCCCTTATAAAACCATCAGCTCTTGTGAGAACTCACTCAATGTCACGAGAACAGCATGGGGAAAACTACCCCCATAATCCAATCACCTCCCATTAGGTCCCACCCTTGACACATGGGGATTAGGGGAATTAAAATTTGAGATGAGATTTGGGTGGGGACACAGTGCCAAACCATATCAGGGAGTCAGAAATATACCCACACATATATGTGGCTATGTATATATGTTAACTTTGACAAAGCTACCAAGACAATCCAACAGAGAAATGGATAGTCTTTTGCACAATGATATGGGGATAAGTATTTATACATACAGAACAGTGAGCCTTGACTCTTCCCTTCCACTATATAAAATATTAACTTGAAATGCAACATAGATGTAAACTTCCAAAAGAAAATATAAAACTTTCAAAAGAAAACAAGAGAAATCTTTACAAACTTGGAATAGGTTAAGATTTCTTAGGTAAGTCACAAAGAATACAACTAATAAAAGAGAAATGGGCAACTTAGACTTCATCATAAAAAGAGAGAAAACATTCGCCCTTTGGAAGGAAGATACTGATAAGAGAATGAAATAGCAAACAGACTGGAAGAAAATATTCGCAATAAATATATCTGGTATAGGAATTATTTCTAGAATATGAAGAACACTTGAAAAATCAGTAATAGATCAAATAACCCTACATAAAAATGTTTTGTTCCAACACTTCACAAAAGAAGATGTATAAATAACCATAAGGACATTAAAATAAACTCAGCATCTTTATTCATCAAGGTAATGCAAATTAGGACTACAAATAGATATCATTATAACCCCACTATAATGGCTAAAATTAAAAAGCTTCTCTGTCCCAAGAGTCAGCAAGTATGTAGGACAATTGTTCCACACTGCTGGTAAGAATGTGAAATATTACAACTAGTCAGGAAAACAGCTTGTCAGTTACTCTAACAAGATAATCATACACTGACCATCAGCCATGGTACTCCTAGATATTTGACCAAAATAAATGCAAACACATATCTACAAAAAGAGTAGTACATGAATGTTTGTGAATGTTCATAGCACCTTTATTTGCCATAGCCCAAATGAGAGAAAACCCAAATGTCCATCCACAGGTGACTGGATAAATAAATGTGGTATATCCATGAAATGAAATTACGATAAGCAATGAAAAGAATATACTACTTTTATGCAACAACATGGATGAATCACAACAACACTGGCTTTACACAAGAGAGTATAAACTCTAAGATTATAATTACATGAAACTGCAAAAAATTCAAATCTAATCAGTGGTTGCCTGTGGTCAGAGGTTGAAGAATTGAAATCGACTACAAAGGGGCACAATTTTGGGGCTGATAAATGTTCTATATTTAGGTTGTGGAGGTGATTACACAGAGTTATATTTTCAAAATTTCTCAAAGTATATGCTCAAAATGGGTGCAGTTTATGTAACTTATACATATTTAACTTATGCCCCAGTTGATAATTTCTTATCTTCTCCCAATACCAAAATACATACACATCCACAAACTCTGCCTACACCACCCCTATCCATATGCTGTGTCTGTGGACTCTTTTCTTGGGTGAGTTCCTTCCCAAGTGGTGCCTAAACAATTTAAGCAAATAGGACCCTGGGTACTGAGGTACTTTGTAAGCCCTGTCTGTATGTTTGGCCATATGAGTTTAGATATTATTCAATTTTACTCCCTCTGGAATTTGCAGCTATTCAAATCTACACAGTAATGAATGACTAAAAGCTAGTGGCAAAAGACAAGTATTTAAAGAATGACAGAAACAGGAAGAAATGCGTATCTGGGGAAAGTCATTAACTGTCTTTCCTGTGATGAGTGACTTCCAGAGGGCAAGAACAAATATGTTCTACATCAAAGTATCCCTGTATACTTTTGAAGGAAGTTATTTCTGTCTGCTCAAAGATTTTATGAAATGCTATACTTGGTGATAAGTTACCACTCTTCCACCCCCTCACTGGCATAGAATTACAACACAAGAGAATAACAATTAAATATTATTTGAGCTGTGGTTTAGAATGCATATATTTAGGACTTTAACAGAAATGACATTGGGTGGCATTTGCTGAAGAGCGGTATGACATGAAAATCAAATCCTTGAGAAAATAAATGACCACTCTACCAGAATGCTTAAGGTCAAGTCTATGGAGAACATTGTACCATCTTACAACTATTTTGATCTTCAGTATTTTTCTTTTTTGAGAAACATTTCTCTGATTTCCTTTTATTTAGACTTGTAGTTGAAGCAGCAGGCAAAAATAGCAGGCCCATAAAAGATCTTTTCTCCATTGATGTATATACGTTTCTTGATCATTTCTATAAACTCAGAAAGTCACATGGATATTCCAAAAATGGTGTCATATGAAAAAGTCATTTCCATCATAGTTTGTGATATTTTTCTGTATGTGCAGTTCATGTATTATATTCACTATGGTGTCATTTCATAGAATGAGGCTCTCTGGGTAGCAGGAGAAAACGCTAGGCAAATAGGGAAAACATCTGAGATTAAAAGTTTTCCAGGAAATATGTCATAAGGCAACACTAAGTATATGAATCATTGAAAGAGAACTATCTGGAGATCTCTGGGGACAAAAACTTCTAAGAATCATAAAAATGTGTTATCATGATTCCTGCTGGTAACTTGAGCCAACTTCAAAGCTTTCTTTCGGGGATTATGCCAAGAGTACCCATTATCAGAAAGGAGTAATTAGAGTGAATTATTATTATGTCCAACCTGCCTTAGATGGAGTACAGCTGCTGAGTCACACTATAAAAATGAAATTGGAGCATTCACCTGCTTATGTAGTTTGTTTGAATTGTATATCTGGTTTTCAAAGCCTGAACAGTGACACCAGAAAAATAAAAAGTCATCACAGAGTTTAGCAGACATCAGATTTGAATGCCCTCTTCTTATGTATTGCAACAAGGCAATATAATTTTCTGGACATTTTTAACACTTTAAAGATTAATTAGTTTTCATGGGGTGTTATTTAAACATAGAAATTTTATTCTATCATAAAAATAACCATTGTTCCCAGATGTGTCTGTTTAACTGTATTTATAGTGCTTGCAGTTGCAGTTCCTGGAGCCTCACTATCTGCTGCAACTGCTTCATAAAGGAAAATTTAGACAGAAGGTCACAATATAATAAAATCCTTTCTCATTCACTTCTGCAATGAACTTGAAAGGAACAGGTGCATGGTCTGGGAGGAAGACTGATTGATGATTGATTATCCAAAAGATTGCTTCTTTTTTTTTTCTTATTTTTCTTCTTTTCCTTTCCCACTCAGTAGGTTCCCCAAAATATCATGAGAAAGCAGTTTAATACAAACAGATACATCTTACTCTAGTTAAAAAAACAATTATGAAGAAGTAGAATGACATAGACAACTGATAAAAGAAGATGTAACTCATTTTTTCCCTCATTTTTGATGCATACACATCTGGGAATTTCATACACAAAGTTAAGGAAGTAAACAGATGTCTGCTGTTGATCGCCATCTCTGGTGAACTTTCAGAGCCCAGCAGTAATTTGCCCCGTGGCTCTCTCCTTATCAGAAGGGCATTATAAACTCTCACCTGGGAGTGAGCACCGCAGCCTGCCCAAGCAACATTCATCTGGCATCAATCCTGGTCATAAAACAAGCCCATGAGTAATATAACAGCCCAGGTGTCTACAATTTCCGACTTCCAAACCATCTGAAAGCATGCAACAACTTTCAAATCACGGTTTCCCTATCTCTATTTAAGGACAGTGAAGAGAACTCTAAGAATTGTAACCTAGTCCCAGACATACTTTGGTTGAGTGTAACACTCTTGCTCATTTCCCATCAAGACAGCAAATACTGTGAGTGATCAAAAAGGAATGACATACTCCAGGAGTGTAAAAGCAACTGGACCAATATCAGCAATGCAGGTTGCATAACCAGCAAATGCCTGATCTTGAAAAGATTGTCTTGACTTGCCAATGTGTTCTTCATTCAACAGCTAGGAGAGTATGTTGGTGGTACCCAGACCAAGAAGCCTCGAACATCTGAAGTGGTTTACACTGCTAAAGACAAGACAGCAGTTGTGATCAAAAACATTTCTAGCTGAATATATATTTTTGTCCTGGGTTTGAAGACACAAAAATAATGTATAGACTCTAAAGTTTATACTTATTTTAAAAATTAGGGAAAGAGAACTAGATAGAGGTGATGGTTGCAAAATGTTGCGAATGTACTAAATGCCACTCAATTGTACACTTTAAAATGATTAATTTTATGTTGTGTGAATTCCATCTTAATAAAAAAGAATTTTAAATGGTGAGAAAACATTTACATAAGGAATTAAGGCCAAAACACTCTGGGAACAATTCCTAAATAATTCTTTCATTCCACAAACTTTTTTTGCACACTTATAAGCAAAGTAAATACTAAGTAAAGCAATACTAAGGTATGGGACTTAGAAAATTAAGACACTATAAAGCAAAGTAAATACTAAGTAAAGCAATACTAAGGAATGGGACTTAGAAAATTAAGACCCTTATATTCTCATCCTTCAAAATCCCCAGAGGATTTAAAGCCAGGATACCTAGTCTTTTGTTGTTGTTGTTTTTGTTGTTATTCTAATAAAGACTTCTGGGAAAGAAAATCTTTTCTCGGTCTTATCAAGCTAAGGTTCTAGGGTTAGACAGCCTGGCTTCCATCTGTGCAAGTCTAAGCATGCTGGTTAACCTCAACAAGTCTCACTTTTCCCATGAAAAAAGGAAGACAATAAAGAGATCAAACCTCAGAAGGATGTTTTGAGGATTTAGATAACACAGGTAAAGCATGTAGTATAATACTAGCATTAAATTGATATTAAGCTTGATTGTTGACATTATTATGTAGCTTTATCATTTATGTCAATATAATGTTTAAAATTGTTTTTGCTTCCTTTATTTTTCAGCACATTTCCATGATTGTACAGTATATCTTAATGATAATGAAATCAGCAGCTCTGAATCAAATTAATTTTTAAAAGATTCTAAACGTGGTGTATCTTACTGGTATAGTAACCATGATACTGGTATAGGACCGTGATACCATAGATTCAACTAACTAGTTAAGAGCTCAATAATCAGTTAATTCTTTTCTTTTCCTTCAAGTCTCCCCATTCCTAACTGTTGCAAAAAAAAAAAAAAAAAAAAAAAAAAAAAACCAAAACAGAGGAAACTCTGTTACCTCCTAAGATAGGCTTGCTGTCTTGTAAAATAGCATTCAAGCTAGTGAAAGTTTTGGGGGAGAATAAGAGTGAAATAAATACATCTACTTCTACTTGCAGTTTATTCTTTTTCTTTTTTTGTGAAAAATTAACTTTATTACTTTATTGAGGAATAATTTACGTGTAACAAAACGTCCCATTTTAAATGTACAGTTGGTGAGTTGCAACAAATATATACTCATATATAACCACCACTACAATCAAGATAGCAAACATTTCTATCACCCCCCAAGATTACCCTTGTGCCTCTTTGCAATCAACCCCACCCCGTCCTTTGCGTCAGGCAACTATTTATCTGCTTTATGACATTTACGTTAGTACAGTGTCATCTACAACACAGCATTTGCAAATTATGACCCACAAGTTTTTTTAGTAAAGGTCTAAAGATAAAAATATTTTTTACATGTTTAAATGATTTTTCAAGAAGAATATTTTATGATAGATAAAATGCTTATGAAATTAAAATCTCCGTGTTCACAAATAAGGTTTGATTGTTACAGTCACACTCCTTCCTTATATATTGATTGTGGCTGTTTTTGAGCTGCAGTGACAGAGTTAAGCGGTTGAAACAAAGACAATATGGCCTGAAAAGCTGAAAATACTTACTATTCGGTCTTCTTACAGAAAATTGAATTAAACAGTGTACGATCTTTTCAATCTGGCTTCTTCGCTCACTGTAAGCTTTTGAAATTCATCTATACTGTTGCATGTAATAGCAAGTGGGCCTTTTTACCGCTGAGTAGTATTCCATTAAATATACCACAATTTGTTTCCTTACTGCCATACTCACATACATATGAGTTGTTTCCAGTTTGGGGCTGTCATAAATGACGCTGTGTTAAAATTCTTACACAAGTCATTTTGTGTTCATATGTTTTCATTTCTCTTGGTGAAGTAGCTAGGAGTAGACTTGTTGAGTCACATACTAAGGGTATGCTAATGTGATAAGAAACAACTGTGAATTAGACTTGCAGTTGCTCCATGCCTTTGCCATTCCAAAGACTGGCAAGAATTTGAAATTTGTATTCTTAGGGATTAAAATGCCAAGTATCTTTAAGCAAAAAACACACAATCTAACTTGAGTATTTATATTGCTCTATTTTTGTTAACATGTCTTTCTTAAAAATAAATTCTACTGTGTATATTTAAGGTGTGCCACATGATGTTATGGGATACATAGAGATAGTAAAGAGGTTACTACAGTGAAGAAATGAGCATCCATCACTGTTAATTACACTCATGTTTCTACCTCTCTTACCTCTTGTTTTCAGAAAATAATATTGTCTTTGGATTTCTACTTAATACTCTATGCCTTTTATAGAAGACTAAAATATATCTTATTTTTAAATTCTGGTGATGATAAAGCAGAACTGGATCACACACATTTTTTTGTAAGGGGCCAGATAGTTTAGGCTTTGCTGGCCACATATGGTTGCTGTTTAATATTCTCCTTCCTCCTCTTTTTCTTTCTTTTACAAACCTTTAAAAATGTGAAAAATACTCTTAGCTGATAGACTGTACAAAAACAGGCTATGTGCCAGATTCAGCCAATGGGTTGTAGTCTACCATTGAAACAGAATACTATTTTTTTATAATGTAACGATGCTCAGAGTTTTACCTATTGTTTCTTTAAAAATACTGAACATGAATCAATCTGACATCATAATAAATAGCTTTCAAAGAAAGTAATCTGAGATCTGGAAAACTCTCTCTTAAGTGGATGACAGAAAGCCAGCATTATCTCAGAACAAGCTCCTACAGCTGATTATTACATATTCAAGAATTTTGCTATCTGATTATTAAACCACTGACAGCTTGAAATGGACCACATTTTGAGTATTTACACCAGAAAAAATCAGCAAATACTATTTTTTTTTTTTTGAGACAAGGTCTCACTCTGTCACTCAGGCTGGAGTGCAGTGGTCCCATCATGGCTCACTGCAGTCTTGACCTCCTAGGCTCAGGTGATCCTCCCACCTCAGCCTCCCAAGTAGCTGGGATTACAGGCACACACCACAACACCTGGCTAATTTTTGTATTTTTTTGTAGAGATGGGGTTTCACCATGCTGCCCAGACTGGTCTTGAACTCCTGGGCCCAAGTGATCCACCTGCCTTGGCCTTCCAAAGTACTGGCATTACAGGTGTGAACCACCATTCCCAGCAGCAAATACTTTTTATTTTATTTTAGAGATCAGATCTATCATCATGCCATTGGCAACACCCTTGTGAATACTAGTGCTTTGCTGTCTGTATGCACAGCCTGATGGTACCCAGACTAGCAGAAAGTTAATCCATTAATCACACTCCCCAGATACTGTGGGGGACAACCCATCCTTGTTTCCCATCATAATGTGGAACATTTATATTTTTCTCTCACCTGTAATCTAACTGGAAATTGAGAAATTCTAACCATAAATTTAAAAATGCAGTTTCTATAACATTCACTGAGAAGGCACAAGAAAATAGGAAATGCTTCTATATCTGAATTGCTGTATATTTCTGGTTTTATTTTTTCTGTTCATGTGCAAATGCATGTTCTAATTTTTCCTTGTATATAATTAAAATAATAAAGTTTCTCATAAATTTAGTTTAATATTTTGCACTATGTTTATAAAAATTTCAGATGACAGCTTCTTTCTGATTTTGACTTCTGTAAATTGAGTTGGATCATTGTATAGATCAAGGGTCACCTGCAGGACAAATCTGATCACTGCCCAGCCATGAGCTAATGTTTTTACATATTAAAGCATTATTTAAAAAAGAAAAAAAAAGGAAGTGGAGACAGAGAAGAAGATGCAACAACAACCATATACTCTACAAAGACTAAAATTTTAACTATTTGGCCCGTACAGGAAGTTTGCCAATCCTTTGTATAGATAATCAACACAGCATTAATATTACATAATTTACTTAATATTTTGCTCACTATGATTCTATTAGTCTGTTTTCACAATGCTATAAAGAACTACCTGAGCCTGGGTAATTTATGAAGAAAAGAGGTTTAATTGACACACAATTCCACAGGCTATACAGGAAGCATGGCTGGGAGGCCTCAGGAAACTTACAATCATGGCAGAAGGTGAAGGGAAAAGCGGGCACATCTTACCATGGCAGAGTAGGAGAGAGAGAGAGAGCAAAGGGGAAAATGCTACACACTTTTAAACAACCAGATCTCATGAGAACTTTATCATGAAGCAGCAGTAGGGAGATGCTGCTAAACCATTAGAAACCACCCCCATAATCCAATCACCTCCCACCAGGCTTCAACTTCAACACTCAGAATCACACTTCAACATGAGATTTGGGTGGGGACACAGAGCCAAACCATATCAATGGTATACAAGATAGGGAACAAATTATCTTCCTATTTGTTCTCTTTTAAAAATGACAAAGAAATAAGAATATAGGAAAAGGAGCAACGGATTTACTGGAAATTTCCTTGTTTTCCTCTCTTTGGGACTTTTTTCTCACCCTCCCCATTTTTGTAGGTAAGAACATTAATTTAAAAACAGGAAAGAATGAGTGAAGCAGGGAGTAATAAACTCTCCGTGTCTATCACTTCACTTTCCACCAAGCCAGCATTCCTCAAATATTCATGAGTACTCAACTTTTAAAACAGGATATGTAAATAAATTGTACTCACAACTTGTGACAGGCTAGGTACCACAAAATTGAAATATAGTTATCTACGTAGAAATCCTGTGCTTCTGGTGTTTACATGTTCCATTCAAGATACTTTATTGAGAACCTGCTGTACCCAAGGAACTATATTATGGGTCACCGGTCTGAAAGCAGTCTAGATACATACTTAGCTATAATAAAAAATTAAGCGTACAGTCACACTGTGTGTAAACAATTCATTTTATTCAGGCATTCCTCCAAATGTCAATGTCTTCTCATATTTAGCACTCTACCAGTTTGCATGAAAATCTGCATTTACAAAGGAAATATTTGACTAGGCTGTTGACAGAAAGAACCTAAGACAGAAGAGCTTCTTTAATTTTTCTCTTTTTTCTCAGCCTTTCCAAGAGAGCAAACACCAGCTCTATTCAGGTTAGGCAGCTGTTGATGGACATCTGAGTATTGGTAATAGGAACTTCCTGGGCTGATCATAAAACTCAGGGTCTTGGTTTTGCCCTGGGTTACAAGCAGACCAAATCGAATGTATGCAACTTGTACAGTATTTGAAATATAGAGAATGAGAAGGAGATGGCAGTGGGAAGAGCAAGGAAAAGGCAAAGACCAAAGAAACACAACACAAAGCTCTGGAGGCAGAAGGGCTGGGATTGTGGTAGAGAAACTTACCAGATCATGTGAGGGTTTGCAGGCCACGTAAAGAGCAGTTTGAAAGCAGCAGAGTGTGCTTAGAAGAAACAACAAGATTTGATTCTACTTTTAAAAGTTCACACTTGGGGCTGTTAGATGGTAAATGAATGGTCATCAGGAGGAGAAGAATTAAAAAGACCAGTTGACAGGTTATTTCAGATAGTTCAGGTAGCAAATAATATTGGCAATGGAGAAGGAGCAAGGAAACATAATCATAATGTATTTTTGAGTTACTAATGTCAGGATTTTTGCAATGGGCTAGTGATGTTCTATTTTACTATGGAATTAAATGAGAGTTCAATAACAGCTTACACGAGAAATTCTAGTGCTCCATGTCATTCTCCTAATCTACATTGTATATTCTTTCATGAAAAGATAATCACTTTGCTTTTATGCAAAGATATTAAATAATAACTGTTGTAGACTGAATGTCTGTATCCCTCCAAAACTCATAAATTGGCATTTAATCCCCAATGTGATGGTATTTGAAGGTAGGATCTTTGGGAGGTAATTATGTAATAAGAGTGGAATTCATACCCTTGTAAGAAGAGGCCAGAAAGTCAGCACATTCTCTTTTCATCAAGTGCATACAACCAGAAGTCAACAATCTGGAACCTGGAAGACAGCCCTTGCCAGAATCAAACCATGCTGTTCATACAACCCTCATCTCAGACATCCAGCCTCCAGAACAGTAAGAAATAAATTTCTGTTGTGTATAAGCCATTCAGTCTCTGGTATTTTATTAAAGCAGCCAAATTGACTAATACAGTCACTCATACTTCTTCTACATAAAGTTGGTACTCAATTGATGCTTTTGTAGAGTAGAGATGTGGTGGTCATGGGCATGAAATGACCAGATATTACTTCCAGGAAGACTCTGCTATAAGGAGAGTCTGTGGACAGTCTCCATCTGCCACATCTTTGGGATCTACCACAACATTCACCTCAAGACCTTTCTTTCCCTGAGCTGCTCTTAGTCAATGACGAAGCATAGAACAGGTTCTAGAGCAAGACTATTTCGGCCCAATGTGCAACATTTGTAATGGACAACCTTTGTGTTGGGACTGCCCATCAGCCTGGCTGGCCAAGCCTTTCTCAGAGCTATGTTGTAGCCTGAGGCTCTTCCTACTCAAATCTCCTTCCTTTTCTCTCTCCTTCCACAAGCATAAGAACTGCATCACTTCTGAAGGTTCTTCCCTCCTATTCCTGTTCTCTCTCCTCTTTATCCTTTACAGGCATTTCCCCCAGTATATCCCTTGCACATCTAGTTCTATCATGACAACTGCTTCCTAGAAGACTTGAACTAATGCTAGAGGTAATTATAAATATTAACATTAGTACTCTGCAATTTTGTGCTACTATTTCTTGGAAACAAATCAATAAAATGACAATAAAGGAAATTTTTTAATGACCAAAACACACACACACCAGAAAAAAAAAAAAAAAAAAAAAAACAGATGAAAAGATCAGAGTTCAGACTTTTAAGCTAGAAGGCAGATGATTGTGAATGAGTGGTCACTGGTCATGGATTTGGCATACCAGAGAGCGCTGAATCCTAAAATGACAAAGCAAGAGGTCAAAACGGCATTTTATGTACCATACAATGTTTTCAAAAATTTAGAAGTTGGCAGCATCAGTTACTTCTGGTATTAAAAGTAAAGGTGGGGAAAAAAGATTAGTTGAAAATCTAAGACAAAAGTAGAACTCCCCTGACCCCACTGCAGGATCACCTTGGTGAGGGGTAGTGACATCTGTATGTGCAGCCAAGCAAGCTTCCATCCCCCATCCCAGCAAAAGACTAGAGATTTATGTTCTAAAAAGAGCAAAGCATAAAGGACTCCACACTGAGAAATAAGGCCCATTGATGAAGAGGTACTTCCCAACATTTTTCACCCACTTAGATTCTAGAACTGTGGAAGCCAGGAGTTCGCCATCCATATAGAAAATAGAAAGTCTCTCTTCTAGGAAACCTGACTACACCAAGAATTAAGATTTAAAATACTGTATTTGGGCTTGCACAAGGATATGACTTACAGGAAGATCACAGTAAACAAGTCCCAGACATTGGAAGGGAAAAAAATGTGGTATTGAAAACAGAGACAAAATATGCAAGTAAAAAAAAAAAAAAAAAAAAGCAAGTGAATAAAAACTAAGCAAGTAGACAGGTGACTAAATGAAGAGAATTTATTATTTTCAAAGAGATAAGAAGTGTATTTATGCAAAGAAGAAGTGAATGCTAGAGGAAAGGTATCTTTGTTGAATTAAAAAAATGCTTTTTGAAATTAAAAATACAAGAGCAGAAATTTTTGAAAAATTCAATATAAAGTGTGAAGGATAAAGTTGAGGAGATCAGAAACAGAAAACAAATAAAATAGTAGGAATCATAGAAAGGAAATAATCACATGAAAATTTCAAAACAACATCCCCCCCCAAAAAAAAGATAGGTTTTATAGTTTTAAAATGTCCAGAGAGTCCACAGGACAATGGATGAAAGTGGATCTATTCCAAGACACAACATTGTAAAATGTCTACTCTTGCAACTAAGATCCCATAATTTTGTAGAAAAATGGATTTTATAATAAGGTTCTGAAATCTATGATTATATTTTCTTTCAATAGTACCTGTAGATACCAAAATACTGTAGAGAAATATCTTCAACATTGTTAGAAAAAAGTATTTCCAAAGTAAAAATTATACATCCTGCTAAATTCCCAATTCATCGTGAAAGCAGAGTCAAGACATCTTTAGATGTATAAGGTGTCAAAACTTTACTCCTCCATACCTACTATCACAGCATCCATGCAGAAAAAATAAGACATGAATTCTGGGAAATAGGAAACCAGCTTGGAAAGATGAAGGAAATCAAGATGATGGTTAAGAGAAATCCCAGGGCAGCAGCTGTGCAGCTAATATAGAGAGCAATCCACCTTGACTAGAGTATGTTAGAAAGTTTCAGAAGACCAGGTCAGAAGGCAACAATGATAGATTATCGAACATCTATAATCTTACTGAGAAACAGACAGAGCTGAAGCAAAGATTCAGCTTGAATTAATAATCAGTACAAAGAAATCAAAAAAGGAATAAGGCAATTATCATCAACAAAAACTTTTAAAGGAAAAATGATTATAATATACTATATGACTCAGCTGTGACTAAGGTTTTCATAGTTATAATATCATACAGAAATGAATGTTGATGTAATAACAATTACCAAATTACTCCCTTCTAAAGAAGAGTTGATAAGATTCCTGTAGACAAGGAGTAAGGAAAAGATAGCCAACTCTCCATCTTCTATAATAGTAGTTTAAGAAATAATTTTTAAAGCAAAGTTTTTTTAAATAGTGATATTATCAAACATTAATTAGAGATATGTACATAAATGTTGAAAGAATCTGCTGAAAAAGTTAGGAAGGATTGCCTTGGGGAGCAGAACAGCTGTCTTCTGCAACAAGACAAAAGTACAGGCAGAAAATCAACACCCGCCCCCAACACACACAATATTATTTTCTTAATAATAATATCATCATCCCTATAATTTAATTGTCCAATCAAGTTTGCCAAAGAAACCCAGCTCTAGGACAATCTTGCTATACTATCATTAGACTAGAAACCCCAGTAATCTTGATTTTAGTTGACTAACTTTGAATGTCATGACTCATTCCAAAGAAATATTCTACACAGATAAAACTAACGTAAAATTAAAAGAAGCATCAATGAAGATTCAGATTTCAACCATAGGCTTCCAATTAAGGGAAGAAGGGACAAGGGGAGGATGAGAGGAAGTCAGTTTGGTCACTCTAACTTCTGGTAGGTAATTGCTTATTTTCCTGAAGATTTTAATCTATGCCAAGTAATATATATTATATACATATTATATATATTTTATTTATATATATATTATATATAATATATATAATATATTATATATATTATATATAATATATAATAAGTATATTATATAATATATAATTATATATATTATATAATATATAATATATAATATATAATTATATATTTATATAATTATATATTATATATATAATATATATCTCAACAGCATCAACAAAAAAGACCCCACGAAAACCCCATCCAAAGGTCAGCAGCCTCAAAGATCAAAGCTAAATAAACTCATGAAGATTAGAAAGAATCAATGAAAAAACACTGAAAACTCAAAAAGCCAGATGCTTCTTCTCCTCCAAATGATCACAACACTTCTCCAACAAGGGCATAGAGTTGGGCAGAGGCTGAGACGGATGAATTGACAAAAGTGGGCTTTGAAGGTGGGTAATAACAAACTTTGCTGAGCTAAAAGAGCATGTTCTAACCTAATGCAAAGAACCTAAGAATCTGGATCTTCACTGATGCTTCTTTTAATTTTACATTAGTTTTATCTGTGCAGAATATTTCTTTGGAATGAGTCATGACATTCAAAGTTAATCAACTAAAATCAAGATTACTGGGGTTTCTAGTCTAATGATAGTGTAGCATTACAGGAGCTGTCAACCAGAATAAACAGTTTAGAGAGGAATAGAAATGCCCTGATGCAGCTGAAAAACACAAGAACTTCACAATGCAACCATGAGTATCAATAACTGAATAGATCAAGCAGAGGAGAGAATTTCAGAGCTTGAAGACTATCTTGCTGAAATAAGACAGGCAGATAAGATTATAGAAAAGAAGAATAAAAAGGACAAACAAAACCTCTGAAAACTATGGGATTATGTAAAAAGATCAAACCCACAACTGATTGAGGTACCTGAAAGACACATGGAGAACGGAACCAAGTTAGAAGACATACCTCAAGATATCATCCAGGAGAACTTCCCCAACCCAACAAGAGAGGCCAACATTCAAATTCAGGAAATCCAGAGAACGCTAGTAAGGTACTCCATGAGAAGATCAACCCCAAGACATAAAATCATTAGATTCTCCAAGGTCAAAATGAAGGAAAAAAAATGTTAAGGACAGCCAGAGAGAAAGACCAGGTCACCCACTAACGGAAGACCATCCTACTAACAAGCAAACCTCTCAGTGCAAACCCTATAAGCCAGAAGAGATTGGGGGCCAATATTTAATATTCTTAAAGAAAACAATGTCCAACCTAGAATTTGATATCTGGCCAAACCTAGCATCATAAGCAAAGGAGAAATAAAATCCTTCTCAGACAAGCAAATGCTGAGGAAATTTGTCACCACCAGGCCTGCCTTGCAAGAGCTCCTGAAGGAAGCTCTAAATATGAAAAGGAAAAACTGTCATCAGCCACCACAAAAACACACTGAAGTACAAAGACCAATGACACTATGAAGCTACTACGTCAACAAGCCTGTGAAATAACTAACTAGCATCATGATGACAGGATCAAATTCACACATAACAATACTAACCTTAAATATAAATAGGCTAAATGCCCCCAATTAAAAGACACAGAATGGCAAACTGGATAGAGTCAAGACCCATCAGTGTGCTGTATTCAAGAGACCCATCTCATGTGCAAAGACACATGTAGGCTCAAAATATAATGATGAAGTAAAATTTACCAGGCAAATGGAAAGCAGAAAAAAGTAGGGGTTGCAATCCTAGTTTCTGACAAAACAGACTTTAACCAACAAATATCAACAAGAGAAAGAAGGGCATTACTTAACAGTAAAGGGATCAATTCAACAAGAGGAGCTAACTATCCTAAATATATGTGCACCCAATACAGGAGCTCCTAGGTTCATAAAGCAAGTTCTTAGAGACCTACAAAGAGACTTAGACTCCCATACAATAATAGCACGAGACATTAATACTCCATAGTCAATATTAGACAGATAATTGAGACAGAAAATTAACAAGGATATTCAGGACTTGAACTCAGCTCTGAATCAAGTGTACCTGATAGGTATTTACAGAACTCTTCACCCAAAAACAGAATATACACTCTTTTTGGTGTCATATGGCACTTACTCTAAAAGTGATCACATAATTGGAAGTAAAACACTCCTCAGCAAATGCAAAAGAACTGAAATCAATAACAGTCTCTCAGACCACAGCACAATCAAAGTTGAACTCAAGATTAAGAAACTTGCTCAAAACCATACAACTACATGGAAATTGAACAATCTGCTTCTGAATGACTCTTGGGTAAATAATAAAATTAAGGCAAAAATCTAGAAGTTATTTGAAACCAATGAGAACAAAGAGACAGCATACGAGAATCTCTGGGACACAGCTGGAGTAGTGTTAAGAGGGAAATTTATAGCACTAAATGCCCACATAGAAAAACTAGAAAGGTCTTAAATTGACACACTAAAGTCACAACTATTAATAAAATAACTAGAGAACCAAGAGCAAAGAAACCCCAAAGCTAGCAGAAGACAAGAAATAACCAAGATCAGAGCAGGACTGAAGGAGACAGAGACACAAAAACACTTCAAAAAATCAATGAATCCAGGAGGAGTTTTTTTGGAAAAATTAATAAAATCAATAGACCACTAGCTAGACTAATGACGAAAAGATAGAAGAATCAAATAGACACAATAAAAAATGATAAAGGGGATATTACCACTGACCCCACAGAAATACAGACAACCATCAGAGAATGCTATAAACACATCAATGCACATAAACTAGAAAATCTAGAAGAAATAGATAAATTCCTGGACACATACACCCTCCCAAGACTAAACCAGGAAGAAGCTGAATCCCTGAGTAGACCATTAACAAGTTCTGAAATGGAGGCCGTAATAAGTAGCAGTCTGTCAACCAAAAAAGCCCACAACCAGACAGATTTGCAGCAGAATTCTACCAGAGATACAAAGAGGAGCTGTTATCATTTCTTCTGAACTAATCCAATTGAAAAGGAGGGACATATCTCTAACTCATTTTATAAGGCCAGCATTATCATGATAGCAAAATCTGGCAGAGATACAACAAAAAAGAAAACTTCAGGCCAATATTCCTGATGAACATCAATGCAAAAAATTCGCAATAAAATACTGGCAAACTGAATCCAGCAGCACATGAAAACTCTTACCCACCATGATCAAGTTGGCTTCATCCCCAGGATATAAGGCTGGTTCGACATCCACAAATCAATAAATATAATTCATCACATAAACAGAACTAAAGACAAAAACCACATGATTATCTCAATAGACAAAGAAAAGGCCTTTGATAAAATTCTACATCCCTTCATGTTAAAAACTCAATAAACTGGATATTAATGGAAAATACCTCAAAATAATAAAAGCCATTTATGACAAACCCATAGCCAATATCAGACTGAATGGACAAAGGCTGGAAATATTCCCCTTGAAAATCAGCACGAGACAAGGATGCCCTCTCTCACCACTTCACTTCAACATAGTATTGGAAGTTCTGGCTAGGGCAATCAGACAAGAGAAAGAAGGAAAGCGTATTTGAATAGGAAGGGAGGAAGTCAAACTGTCTGTTTGCAGATGACATGATCCTATATCTAGAAAACCGTATTGTCTCAGCCCAAAAGCTTCTTAAGCTGATAAGCAACTGCAGCAAAGTCTCAGGATACAAAGTCATTGTGCAAATATCACAAGCATTCCTGTACAACAACAATAGACAAGCAGAGAGCCAAATCATGAATGAACTCTTATTCATAATTGCTATAAATAGAATAAAACACCTAGGAATACAGCTAACAAGGGAAGTGAAGAACCTCTTCAAGGAGAACTACAAACCACTGCTCTAGGAAATTAGAGAAAATACAAACAAATGGAAAAACATTCCATGCTCATGGATAGGAAGAATCAATATTGTGAAAATGGCCATAGTGTCCAAAATAATTTATAGATTCAATGCTATTCCCATTAAATGACCATTGACAGTCTTCATATAATTAGAAAAAACTACTTTAAAATTCATATGCAACCAAAAAAGAGCCCTTATATCCAAGACCATCCTAAGCAAAAAGAACAAAGCTGGAAGCATCATGCTAGTTGACTTCAAACTATACTACAAGTCTACAGTAACCAAAACAGCATGGTACTGGTACAAAAACAAACATATAGACCAATGGAACAGAATAGAGACCTCAGAAATAAGACCACACATCTACAACCATCTGACCTTTGACAAACCTGACAAACACAAGTAATGGGGAAAGGATTCCCTATTTAATAAATGGTACTGGGAGAACTGGCTAGCCATATGCAGAAAACTGAAACTGGGCTCCTTCCTTACACTTTATACAAAAATTAACTCGAGATAGATTAGAGACTTATATGTGAAACACAAAACAACCAAAACCCTATAATAAAATCTAGGCAATACCATTCAGGACATAAGCATGGGCAAAGACTTCATGAATAAAACACCAAAAGCAATTCCAACAAAAGCAAAAATTGACAAATGGGATCTAATTAAACTAAAGAACTTCTGCACAGCAAAATAAACTATCATCAGAATAAACAGACAACCTACAGAACGGGAGAAAATTTTTGCAATCTAACCATCTGACAAAGGTCTAATATCCAGAATCTACAAGGAATTTAAACAAATTTACAAGAAAAAAAAATAGCCCCATTAAAAAGTGGGCAAAGGACATGAACAGATACTTCTCAAAAGAAGACATTTATACAGCCAACAAACATGTGAAAAAAACTCAACGTCACTGATTATTAGAGAAATGCAAATCAAAACCCCAATGAGATACCATTTCACACCAGTCAGAAAGGAGATTATTAAAAAGTCAAGAAACAACAGATGCTGGCGAGGATGTGGAGAAATAGAAATGCTTTTACACTGTTGGTGGTAATGTAAATTAGTTCAACCATTGTGGAAGACAATGTGCCAATTCCTAAAGACCTAGAGCCAGAAATACCATTTGACCCAGCAATCCCATTACTGCGTATATACCCAAAGGAATACAAATCATTCTCTTTTAAAGATACATGCACTTGTATGTTAATTGCAGCACTATTCACACTAGCAAAGACATGGAATCAACCCAAATGTCCATTAATGATAGATGGGATAAAGAAAATGTGGTACATATATGTCATGGAATACTATGCAGCCATAAACAGGAACAAGATCATGTCCTTTGTAGGGACATGGATGAAGCTGGAAGCCATTATCCTCAGCAAACTAACACCAGAACAGAAAATCAAACACTGCATATTCTCACTTATAAGTCGGAGCTGAACAATGAGAACACACAGACACACGGAGGGGAATAACACACACTGGGGCTTCTTGCGCGCAAGTGAAGGGAGGGAGAGCACCAGGATAAATAGCTAATGCATGCTGGGCTTAATACCTAGGTGATGGGTTTATAGGTGCAGCAAACCACTATGGCACATGTTTTACCTATGTAACAAATCTGCGCATCCTCCACATGTATCCCCGAACTTAAATTAAATTAAATTTGAAAAATGCTCAATGAGATAAAGCATATATAAAATATATACATATTTCATGACAAAAATCAGAAAATGGTATCTAAAATGTAGACGAAAGATCCAATAATGCTAACATAAATAAGGAAGTAATTCCCAAGGCAAGCCTGCAAAATGAAGAGCCTTACCAGATGCCCTGCCAGACATAGGCCTCGGCTCTCTTTCTATGCTAATCTCTAACTAATCCCACCTATAACAAAAACAAGCTTCATACCAAAGTATGCATTTTTCATCTGTATTCCAATAGACCAGACACTAGAAATGGGAGTGGACTTGGTTCTATGTACACTTTTTCTATTCAGAGAAGGGGACTCATTTAAGCTTTGGTCTGGGAGTATCCTGTTCTGTGAAGAGATTCCAAACCAAGATAGGGTGTGGTTAGTAATCTTGGCACTTCAAGTGGCTGAAGATAGATGCCCTGTGGGATCTTGCCATCTATTACACCCACACACACCATTGTCATTACAGCGTCTTAGACAACACCACCACACCCTGCCAGGCACTAGGATTTTCAATTTAAAAATCTCCTGAGGTTTCCATGTAAATGTCTTACAAAGGGTAATGTGAAGGCCATTGATTGTAAGGACTCTAAGAGAGAATGAGAGAATTTGTTTTTTCACTTTGTGTCCAGATGAAAGGATGACATGCAGCACAGAGTACCTAAATATGTTGCAAGAGACATAAAATATGGAAGTCATCTCACAAATAAAAAAGATCTTCAGAATTTTAATTTTGTATTATTTCATGTCCATGCTGTATTACTTTACATTTCAGTATCTACTATAGCTCCCTTCCGTTTTACTATTTCACTTCAAAAGTAACTAAGCTGAAAAGAAATATACATTTGCTCATCCAGGACAAGCCATTGGATTAGAAAACTATGCTCACTGTTCAATTCCCACCTATGAGTGAGAACACACGTTGTTTGGTTTTCTGTCCTTGCGATAGTTTGCAATGGCACATGTATACATATGTAACAAAGCTACACGTTGCGCACATGTACCCTAGAACTTAAAGTATAATTAAAAAAAGAAAGAAAACTGTGCTGTCCCCATTCACCATCCCACCCTATTACCACAGACACATCTAGAGGGAAAATAAGAAATAACCAGACAACATTTCTGAGCTAACATTATGTTTATACTTATTACAAATCAGAATTGGGAAACTTTAGAACTTTCCATAAATTAAAAAAAAAAAATAAAAGAGAATAAGAAAAACCCATCAATGTCGATCTAAATTTCCTAGATGCAGGGCTCCTAAGGGGGTCAAAGTGCCAGGAACCTCTCCCATTCTATGAAGGAATCAAGCCCTTCTACGTGGCACTGGGAAACTGTTCCTTCTCCAGTAGAATAGAACCGTGCTCCATGGAAGATATGACATCAGCCTTTTGTTATGACATCAGCCTCTGGTTTCTGAAGAGGAAGATGAGTGGAGTATGCAGCCTAGTAATTATTTTGCTGTGAATTTTCAGTGAAGATGCTCTTATCCTAAGTATTCCACTGATTAATACAGTGAGGTTTGGGGTTGAAAATAATAATGAAGAAAAAGCTCAGTTTATTCTCATTTGGCAAATTTACCAATGAAACAAAATATCAGGCGGGGTGCAGTGGCTCAAGCCTATCACCTCAGCAGTTTGGCAGGCCAAAGCAGATGGACTGCTTGAAGTCAGAAGTTTGAGACCAGCCTGGCCAACATGGCAGAACCCCATCTCTTTTAAAAATACAAAAATGTACCTGGATGTGGTGGCACATGCCTGTAATCCCAGCTACTCAGGAGGCTGAGACTGGAGAATCACTTGAACCTGGGAAGCGGAGTTTGCAGTGAGCCGAGATCAAGCCACTGTACTCCAGCCTGGATGAAAGAGTGAGACTGTCTCGAAAAAAAAAAAAAAAATCTATTAAGTATGCATCATTTCTGTTTTCTAATGCAATCTCTATGTTTATGAACAAAAAGCAAATTGAACTCTTCATTATAACTCCTTCTCCAAAAAAATCTCTGGACACAAGTGCTTCAAATCAGCAACCTTTCCCTGCATTACCCTTATCCTAATTAATGACCATAACGACACAAGGACTGGGACTCTTGCCAATTATTAGCTTCATCTCTGTGTTCTGTTTCTCAACATAAATTCAATAAACAACTCAAGACTTGCTGGAGTTTGAAAGCAAAAACCAAAGCCAAAGCCCTGTGTATATTAAAACCATTCCTGCAACAATAAACTCTGACTGGGAAATGAACTAATCATTCCTGTTGTTCAACTAAGCTCCCAACTGAAGAGGCTGAAATCACAGCCCCCTCAAAGAGGAAGCTCTGGCTTAAACAACAAGGAAAAAGCATTGACTGACCTTCAGGTACCCTTTGTTTCCAGGCTTCTCTGACATACCCTCTTTTTCTGCACCACATGCCTCTCATTCCTCCAAGCCAGCATTTGATAGTTGAGCTTAAGATGGTGAATGGTGATGGGTGACTCATAACCCACCATTTATATTCCATTAGGGGAAAATAAGCAAGATAGAGTGTCTGGTAACATGCTCTTAGACAAATAGTTTTCAATGTTTTCCCTTAGCGACATTTTTTAAAGGCACCAACAAGAAGAAAGTGAGAGTTCTGTTTAGCAATTGATGAATCTATCTGTGGCTAAAACCACTATGTAATTGGAAATCTTTGCAACATGAGAAAGTCTTTGCCCAAAACTCTATTGTATCATTTTTCATATTTCTTATATGACAATGATCTGATGACTTCTGTGCCCCTAAACTCTTCCTTTAACCATCTGGTTCTCGAGTTTAGTACAAGCCTGCTTAGATGCAATGGAAAACTTGAAAAGGATAACAACACATTCATTCAACAACTCATTTGTAGAACTTAGAATTTATTATGATTCTTACTAAGTGACAGGCAGCCTGAGAAGAGGGTTGTACATCAATCAATGCAATGATATGTGATGAATGACAGATGAAAAGATAGAACAAAGATACAGGACACATCCTACCAAACTGAAACAGGAGTGGCTGGTGTGCGATGCACATATAACAGAGTATTAGTTGTTTCTACACACAAGTTCTATGCATGAAAGGGTTACCTGCAAGAGCATGGTAACTCAGGCTAACTTCACACTGGACACTTAACTTCACAGAGGATCAGTGTTTTAGCCTCATTTATCTGTGACTCAGTCACAGACAATGAATAAGAAGGTTAACCTGAAAACTTTTTCCAAAGAAAATTGATGTCCTAATCTACCAGTAATACCTGAATATATCTATTTCTTTCTGCTTTTCAGAAATACCTTTGTTCTCTGATAATAGCATAAGAAATGTCCACACCCTCAGTTGCCTAGGAATTCAATAAATGAACACCAAGTAATTAGTGTTGTGTAGACCTTTATTTAAAGAGATAGCATTTTGGTGTGTTGAAATTTGTGTGACAAAAAGTTTGGCACACACAATAGCCATTTTTAGTTTTTTCATTCATGCTGAAATAGTTTGCCTCCCACGAGAGAGAAAGCAGATACAGATGCTCATTTTTCCAGCTTCCCTTGAGGCCAGGAGTAGGAATGCAACCAATTAGACCTAAGGAGAAATCTGCTCTGGGACCTTTGAGGTAGAATTAGAGAAAGCATGAGACTAACTCTCTTCTCCACATTCCTTCTTCCAGAATTTGGGTGTTGAGTAAGGACATGATACTTAGAGTTGCAGCATGAGGTGGGGAGAATGTCAACCCTAAGGATAACAAAAAAAAAAAAAATGGAAAGAGTTTGATTTTCTTATGCCATTATTAACCTGATGAACCTATCCCGGAACTGTCACAACTCTAATCTTTGTATATGAGATATGAATGGCCTCCAGTTGTTTAAGCCACGTTTGGTATGGAAGTCTCTAACTTGCATTTCAAAGCAAGTGATTGGTTTGGAAATAGGGAGGCATAAGCCAATTTGAACCAATGCAACACAGAAGAGGCTTTCTCTAAGCTCTTGGATAAAACAGTTTACCAAATATGAACACTGAAGTGTATTTTTTCAATTATTGCTGATAGCCATTTGAGACCTTGAAATGAGCCAGTGCAAGGTTGAGCCAATAGCGGAATAGCTGAGAGGAAACTTGGAAAGTGTCTACGTTCTTGATGACATTGTTGAGTCATTTAGTCAAACAACTCTGTAGTCCACACTTCATCTTGGCTTCCTAGCATGTGAGATAATTAATCCATGTAGGGTTTAAGCAAATTTTATATTGTTTACTATGGCAGGTTGATTGCATTGATGGTCCCAATTAATGATGTTTCTGGATCCAAGCTCTTTGCCTTGCAGCTTTGTAGGATCTGCCCACTCTAACTACAAAAATTGCTTTATCCAATAGAACGTGACAAAACTAATGGTGTGCTGGTTCTGAGCCTAGACCACAAGAGACCTTGAGTGTCTCTGTTCTATTGGAATCCTGCCACTGTCATGACTACCAGCCCGGGCCAGCCTGTAGATAATGAAAGACCGCATGGAAGAGAGCCGAGCTGTCTCAGCTGAGGCCATCCTAGACTCGTCTACAGTTAGCCGACACCCAAACACGAGAGACAGCCAAGCCAAAATCAGCAGAGCTGCCGACCCAACCAACAGCTGACCACAGACATATATGTGAGTCCAGCCAAGACCAGAAGATTTGCCCAGACGACCCATGGACTCATAAGCAATAATCAATGTTAAATAATAAATTGTTTTAAGCCACACTGAGTGTTGGGACGCTGTGTTATGCATTTAGTTACTTTTATTACTTGTAAATGAGAGCATTCTAGCTGATAAAGCAAAGTAGAAAGCTGAAGAGATGGGCAGAAGGCTTCCCTTATAATATACTCTAAGCACATGGGACATGCTTGAAAGGTTTTAATTAGGGAAATGATCAAATTTGCATTTTAAAAACACTATGGCTTGGATGTGGAGGATAATATTAAGATCAGGTAACTAAACTTGCATTAAAAACAACAGCCCAGCGTCAGGCACAGTGGCTCATGCCTATAATCCTAGCACTTTGAACGTCTGAGGCAGGTGGATCACTTGAGGCCAGGAGTTCAAGGCCAACCTGGACAATATGGCGAAACCCCATATCTACCAAAAATACAAAAAATTAGCCAGATGTGGTGGCATGTGCCTGTGGTCCCAACTACTTGAGAGGCTGAGATAGGAGAATCCCTCAAACCCAGGAGGTGGAGGTTGCAGTGAGCCATGATCATGCCACTGCACTCCAGCCTGGGCAACAGAGTAAAACCCTGTCTCATTCTAAAATAAAAAATAAAAAATAACAACAACGGACCAGGAAGGAAGGAAAATTTAAGATATAAGACAACATCATTTAAAAAACAAAGTTATCTGAGGGGGAAAAAAAGAAGAGAGATAAAGCACATAGGGTAGAAGTTGTAGATTTCTTGAGTTCCTACAATGCAAGTACACTTATTTGTAGCCTAGATCAAGTGTTCAAAGCGGGACCTTCAGATCAGCAATATCTGCAGCATTTGGAAATTTGTTAGAAATAAAAGTTGTCAGCCCACTGCAGATCTACCGAATCAGAAACAGAAAATGAGACCCAGCAATCTGTTTTCACAAGCCCTCCGGGTAGATAATGCTGATGCATGCTGAAGTTTGACCTAGGCCATGGGTAAGAATCTGTTAAGGATGACAAGTTGTTAAGGACACCAGCACCTTCTTTAGATCACCTTGGCTATGAGGGATGGAGCTGAGCTATTGCCAGTTTTGTCCGGCTGAAAATCTTTGTCAATTGATTAGAGGCTCGTTTCCCGGATTGCTCCTCTGGATTCTAATTTCTCAGTGTCCAGGTTTTATCAAGAGCTGTAGTGTCTCCTACGGGTCCTAAGCTTCCTTTATGACATGGCTCAGAGGAGTGACTTTCTCAACTGCACACAGAGAGACTAGGGTCTCTATAGGTCAATGGATATTGGAACACAGAGTGAATATATATTACATTAGTCCATTATGTATTGTATTAGTCCATTCTCACACTGCTATAAAGAATACTACCTGAGAGGCCGCGTGCAGTGGCTCACACCTGTAATCTCAGCATTTTTGGGAGGCCGAGGTGGGTGGATCACATGAGGCCAGGAGGTTGAGACCAGCCTGGCCAACATGGTGAGTAGACTAAAAATATAAAAATTAGCCAGACATGGTGGTGCATGCCTGTAAGGATTAAATTAGCCAGGCATGGTGGTGTAATCGTTACAGGCATGCACCACCATTCTTGGCTAATTTTTGGGAGGCTGAGGCTAATTTTTTGGGAGGCTGAGGCTAACTTTGGGGAAGCTGAGGCACAAGAATCAGTTGAACCGGGAGGCAGAGGTTGAGGTGAGCTGAGATTGCGCCACTGCACTCCAGCCTGGGCAACAAAGTAAGACTCTGTCTAAAAAAAAAAAAAAAAAAAAAAAAAGAAAGAAAGAAAAAAGAAAAAAAAAAGGATACTACCTCAGACTGGGTAATTATAAAGGAAAGGGGATTAATTGGCTCACAGTTCTGCATGGCTGGGGAGGCCTCTGGAAACTTACAATCATGGCTGAAGGGGAAACAGTCACCTTCTTCACAAGGCAGCAGGAAAGAGAGTGAATGCTAGCCCAGGAAAAACTTCCATTTTTAAAACCATCAGATCTTGTGACACTCACTCACCATCACGAGAAAAGTATGGGGGAAACTGCCCCCATAATCCAATTACAATTACAATTCAAGGTGAGATTTGGGTGGGGACACAAAGCCAGACTATATAATATATAGACAGAAGACACTGAATTTAGAAGACAACAAGATGAATAATCTTTCTCACCTCAAAAAGACCCAGGTATTAACCATCCATCTTCTGGCTGGGGAGGGGTTGATAGTGTCTTGTTTTGTCCTGCCATTCAGATATCATCCTCTAAGGAACAACGCTCACCTCCATATACTTTCTTCCTTCCTTTTTTTTTTTTTTTTTTTTTTTTGAGAGCGAGCGAGCGAGCGAGCCAAGGTCTCGCTTTATCACCTAGGCTAGAGTGGAGTGGCGTGATCCCAGCTTACTCCAGCCTCAAACTCCCGGGCTCAAGGGATTAAGGGATTCTCCTTCCTCATCCTCCTGAGTAGCTGTGAATACAGGCATGCACCACCATGCCTGGCAAATTTTTTTTTTTTCTTTAAAGGTAGCATCATCTCACTATGTCACTGAGGCTGGTCTCAAACACTTGGCCTCCAGTTATCCTCCTGCCTTGGTCTCCCAAAGTGCTGGGATTACAGGCATGAGCCATCACACCAGGCCTGAATTCTATGCTTGATATGCTATGTCTTACTCTCTCAGAAATCTTCTGGACAACTTTTTTTTTTTAATTTTATCATTATTATACTTTAAGTTTTAGGGTACATGTGCACAATGTGCAGGTTACATATGTATACATGTGCCATGCTGGTGTGCTGCACCCATTAACTCGTCGTTTAGCATTAGGTATATCTCCTAAAGCCATCCCTCCCCCTTCCCTCCACCCCACAACAGTCTGCAGAGTGTGATGTTCCCCTTCCTGTGTCCATGTGTTCTCATTGTTCAATCCAACCTACGAGTGAGAAGATGCGGTGTTTGGTTTTTTGTTCTTGTGATAGTTTACTGAGAATGATGATTTCCAATTTCATCCATGTCCCTACAAAGGACATGAACTCATCATTTTTTATGGCTGCATAGTATTCCATGGTGTATATGTGCCACATTTTCTCAATCCAGTCTATCATTGTTGGACATTTGACTTCCCAGTTTTGTTTTGTAAATTCTGGGGGACTACTAACATGTTGGTGATGTAGAGAAGCATCCATCTTTCAAGCTATTCTAGGCATTATCCTTTATGGAAGAGGACTTTGGGGTCCTTCTCTGTAGGGGGAATTAAAGATTGTGTTAAGAAAAGGAACACCTAATTTGTTGATAGACCTTTACCTTGACTCAGCAAAATGCCTACATTGGAGGCCAAAACAAGTTCCATCTCTCAGCTCTCTGGCCTAATGACCCATTGTTTTAGCATGAAATCATAATGGGACAAAATTTAAAGAAAGCCTGGGTGACCCTAATATTGTCAACAAAACTGGATGTAATTTCTAAGATGTAGACAAACCTCAAAACTTCTCCACCCACACAAACATATACCAGATCTCATTCTTTTGGAGAATGTTGACTATTTCATAAATTTGAAAACAAAACTGAAAAAAATTGTTGATTTATCTTTTCCAGCCCAGAAATGGACAGGTACCTTACACCTAAAGGGTTTCCACTGCAAATCATTGACCTAACAAGTCCAGGATTCCTGTATGGATGATATCATTATAATCAAGACTCAGCTATGGTTCTACTGTGCTTCATATTTCACTCATCTACAAAATGAGAATCTTAATAGTACTATCAGTAATGACACCTCCTGTTTTGAGGATTAAATGAGTTTTAAAAAGCAAAAAGCACTTAAAGTATCACCTGATCCATAGGAAGAAGTTTGATGGAAGAAGTTTGACAGGTCCATTTGACAGAAGTTTAGCTATTATTGGTGTTAATGTATTGTTGACTATTATTATTATCAGCAGCAGCATTGTTTAGTTTTTTTAGTTTAATAGGTAATTTTGAAAAGCATTAGAAAGGACAATGTAATACGACTCAGTGTCTGAGATGGCTCTGATACTTTGAGCATGGCTGAGAGAAGAATAGTACCCTTGGCAGATATTCAGAAGCCAAGTGCAAGAGCTGCTTTCAGAGGAAAATATTGTTAAACTTGATGAATGTGATGCAGTGGCACAATATTATTTAAGTGAAGTAGACCCAGAATTTAAGATATAGAATGGGAATTGAAAAGTCAAATATCAAATAAATTGAGAAAAATATGCACAGATGACCAATTCTAGTCTCGTTTTTAGCAAATAAACATAGAGGAATAATGAGAAGGCTCTAGAATACTCCAGATCATGGAAAGGGTGACACAGAGATAAAGAAAAAAATAGAGAAAGAACAGTGAGGAAAATGAGATAAGGATCTAACTCCTTCACTCTCCTATCCCTTGATTTATTAATTCTTCATCCATTTATTAATTTGTTTGTTGACTTCATCAAGATTGCCCTGCCAGATTCTAGGGATATACACTTCTGGCCCCAAATTGCCAAGGCGAATGGAGAAAACCACCAAAGACACAGAAACTTATATTACAGTTGCGCAAGTGCTACAGTTGAGATATAATCAAAATGTTGTAGACAAAGAGCAGTATCACTGTGCAAAAGTCAAAGAAGAAGGTCATAGTTTGGTTTCTGATACCACTACATAACTGAAACTACACCAGGAGGTGGATGACTTCATTGCTCAATCCAAGGCAGATGTTTACGACAATGACAAAAAAAAAAAAAAAAAAAAAAAAAAAGATGGGCTCTGACTTCCAGTCCTCATGACACAGAGACCATGTTTCCTAGCACTGTTTCAAACATGTAGCAGTCATTGGTAATAATATTAAAGGAAAACAAAACAGCACAGGGTTGTTTACTCTCTAGATGAACACTTCCATGAACGTGAAATAGAACAGAAACACATTACAGAAAGTAGAGGATAAATAGCTAGTACTGCTGAGCTCCAGCAATAAAAATAACACTATTGTGTTGAAGTTTGATTTCAACACAGGACTTAACTGACAGCTTAATAGAGACATAATCAGTCTCTTATCAGGTGGAAAACTGATGCCAGATATAACATGCAAAGCCAGCGGCTTCTATGGTACTGCCATCCAAGGAAAAGGGCTGGATTGTTTCCTGGGACTGCAGCTCATAGAAAACTACCTGGGGACATGAGCAGGAGCAGAGACAAGCACAGAAATAGACAAGGACCTGGGTCAAATCATCTGCTGACTCAGCGACTATCAGCATTAGCCCCATATCACATAATAGAGCCACCCTGAGTGGGCAGGAGGAGTCATTCTCAGAACTACTGGCTAAAAAGAGATCCAGAGACAGAAACAAAACATCCACTGACTAAACTATGTCTGCAATCTAAAATTTCAAAGCATACTAAGAAAGATAATCAACAAACCATGATCAAGAGAATTCACACTGTACTAGAAGGCAAATAATAGAGTAGGCTGAAGTTACTTTAAATTATATTTAGAATCCGTAGCCATAGAAAGTAGTGAAAAACATTCATAAAAAAGAGATTTTTTTGAAGTAAAAGCAGGCAGATATTAATAAAAATACACATATATAAAACAGAAAAATTCAAAATCATAAAAAGAAATATGGTGAAACAAAAGCAAACAATACATAGGATAAAGTTTAGTCTTGATCAAGTCTAAAAAATAATTAGTGAACTAGGAAGTAATAGCTAGAGCATAAAGAGACTATTAAAAATATGAAAGAAGTTAAACAACGTGGAGAATGAAATGAGAAGTCCTAGAAGCAAAGAGACAGAATAGCAGAGAAGATAGTTTTACAGCAACAATAGAAAGCATTAGAAAAATAAATGTACAAACCCTCAGATTCTCAGACTAAATGTGTACAGTAGCTTAAGAAGAGAACACATACATACCTCAGCCAGATATATCATACTAAACAATAAGATTGGAAGAATGAAGAAAAAATATTAAAAATGCAAAGACATATGCCTAACAAAAGAACTATTATGTCGTGAAGAATGGAGGCAAAAATGAAGACATGTTCAAACATAAATACCCCCAAAGATATTTTTTAAAGTCACTAAACTGTGCTCTTCAGCAAAATAATTCAGAGAAAAGAAGCAGGATGTAAGAAATAAAACTGAATACAAAACAGTAAATGTGTTGGAAACCATAACTAATTTAAATTAACCTGCAGGTGTATATGTTTGTGTGGAACAAATTGAAACTACATTTTGAAAAACCATCAATAAATCTTATATTCTGCCTATCTGCAGATTTCTCCTATCTTGCTATTTTTCTTATTTAGTTAAAAGCATACTTTTGACCCTCCATAATTTTTTTTTTCCATTTTTCTTTACTCTTGCTCTTAGCTTTCCCCAACATTTTCTTGCTCAAAATTTCAGTGCGTCAGCTGGCAGCTTGGCCTCAGAATATGGGAAGGTACTGCCGTCTGGCAGCGTCAACTTGAGTTACGGCGAAGACTTGTTTTCCATTGTGCCCTCCCCTGTGTGCCATATCCATCCTGGCCATTGTGCCAGGTGAAATACCAACGCTCGCTGATGTGGAAGATGCTTCATCGGGAGGCAATCAGCTCTGCCGAGAGAGGGGAGAAAGAAAAACACGTGTGGTTTTTGCCGCCTTCACCTTGGCAGAGAAAAGTGGATGTAAAACTGGGGCTGGGGTACAGCCTTCAGAGTTCTGGAAGATCAGCGACGCCAGCCTGAGCCAAGAAAGAACACATGGTGGTTGTGTGTGGCACTGACACCTCAAGAAAAATCACTTTGAGTCGTGCGCCTGATCATTTAACTGCTATGGGCACAGGCCCAGCTTTCTCCCCAAGTCAAATGTAAATGGTTTAAGGAAGCTGGTGGTCTTTCTTCCCGCTCCACTTTTACCATACTAAGTGTCTCACAGCCATTTTACTGTGTTTACCAATTATGAAAATTCTGGGCAGCTAATTATGAAAATATTGAGAAGTCTTTGAGAACTAACTCTTGGAGTCAGTGAAGGCAGAGAACAGACTGTAAAGTCTTTGAAAAATGAGCTGCTTGCTCTCCACTTCTGCCAGTAAATTTTGGTATTCCAGCATATTGCCATGTTAATCTGAAACCAAAAAGAAGGAAATCAATAAAAATCTAGGAGAAAAGGAAGGGAAGAGGCAAGCCATCAATGCTTAGGAGATGAGAAAGGGCTGATCAGTTTCTAGGATCCATACATTTTGCTCCCCGTGGATCATAAGCCAAAGAATCCAGGGAAAAAATATGAAAAACAAGTTTTATGACCTAAATGAGAGGTGATAAACTTTAAGTTCTCTGTAAAAAGGGACAGCCTTTCTTCGAGTCTGACCTTGCTGTTTTCATACCATCTGGAAAGAAAATCTAGTTGTCTTCCCCCATTTGTTTTATGCTGAATAAAATTAATGCACGTGCAGTAATAACAGAAAGAATATAAGTACATTCTAGACTGATTATAAAGTTGCTTAGATTTCATGATATATCCTAGTAATTTAACAAATGTGGGTTTTTTTTTCCTACAATGCCTTTCTTTCTTGCAGCAGATTTCTTTAGCTAATTTTTTATGTTAACTAAATCTATACAAAATAGAACTATTGTCATCCTCGCTGTGTAGAAAAGACAAGTCATGACAAACAAATATTGTGCAAGCTTATAGATGGTAAAATAATTTTAGAAAATAGTTATGTTGTTGTGTAGTCCTATAATCTCTCCATCAGAAAATGAAACCTTCTGTGTTTAGATAATATTAGGTAAAGTTCACTTTATAGTCCATCCTACAACCTCAGACTGTTATGCTATAACACTATTGTTAATGTCTTAAATTGCATTAAAATCTAAAGTGGATATTGTCTAGTATTAGTATAAGCAGCCCATGAGTTATATCATACAGAGGTAGCATTGCCATGTACACGCAACATAAATACGCATCTTAAACTTAGAATCTTGTGAAGGTTATTAAGATTTTTCACTCTAAATCCTTCCATTTTCTCATCCTTCTTGATGGTAGATTTAGAAGTTGTAAATGAAATAATACAAATTTTATTAATTGATAAAATATAAAGTATAATCACATTTTCAACTTCCCCTATTGTTTGTTTCCATAAGAAAAAGGTTCTAAGCTCCAGTCCTGAGCTCCTTATTCAATATTAGAAGTCAAGAAACTTACAAAGCTTTTCCTGACTTTCCATTAGCAGAAAGCTTTATAAAAGCTGCCATTTATGTAAAGTACAGAAAGGCAAGGAACATACACATTTACACATGTGAAAGAATGAAGAGGAAAAGAAAAGCTATGAGCTGAATTCTCAATGCACACAGTATTTGACTGAAATACAAAGCTACCTAATAATTTATACTTTGTATTTTAATTGAGTATCTGCATGAATATGGATACATGTAACTTCAGTACATTTTAACTGGAACATCATCTGTGTTACATGTCATTATATTAAATGTCATGATAAAGAGCCATTACATTTAAGTGTGTTATATTGTCCTGTTACAAACGTCTAGGAAGTTGCCAAAAAGAAAATGTGTTTGGTGTGACATTGCTTATTCTTAGTGAAGCCATGCTGGTTGTTACCATTCCTTAATGCTTCTGGGAGCTTAAAAGTCATTTTGTTTACACCTAGTCCTAGAGGCTTTCTTTTGAAGGCAAGCATTTCTATAGCTTGAAGAATCCACATTGAGCTTTAGAACCTTTACCCATATTCAGACTTCAGACATCCTTCTTATTCTCCATGCTTATTCACAGATACCAGACATCTGTTTAACGTGTTTACTTGCCAGTGCTGTCAATATACTGCGGGAAGTAAATCAGCCGGGCTCCAAAGTTTGAATTCATTCAAAACAGCTCGGGATATATCTAAAATATTTGCCCCATCTTTGTTATCATAACCCCCATTGCAAATTCTGCTGGGTCCTTTTCATTGCAAAGCTCATCCTGCTTGACTGTAAATACGGAAGTTAAATAAGAAAATATTGTGACCCAGTTTGGTAGATGGTCACTAATGATGGTCATTTTTTTTATTATTTTAACAAATAACAAGTTTTTTTTAGTGATTGATTTTGAAGTTAGAATATAAAGAGAATCAGTTACAGCAGAAAAATATAATGATTGTGATTCTGTGATGCAGACATTTCTCACTATTTTGCCTAAAACTGGGATGTCATCCACTGACTCTTGCTTCAGCTGCTAATTAGTTACATGATTTTGATACACGGAGACAATAATTCAAGTATTAGAACATAATAATCATCTTCTGCCTTTGGGCTAGACATGTCTAAGTCAGGCAAAGTTTGTCTGTGTGTAATTCCAAAGGAATACAAGGTGAAAACTGTCTCCCCCAGTTTTTTTTTTAAGCCTCAAACAGAGATCAGGTTCTTCATTAAAACCATGAAGCCTGGGTGTGGTGGCTCACGCCTGTAATCCCAGCACTTTGGGAGGCCGAGGCCGGCAGATCACGAGGTCAGGAGATCGAGACCATCTTGGCTAACATGGTGAAACCCCGTCTCTACTAAAAAAAAAAATACAAAAAATTAGCCGGGCGTGGTGGCAGGTGCCTGTAGTCCCAGCTACTCGGGAGGCTGAGGCAGGAGAATGGCGTGAACCCGGGAAGCAGAGCTGGCAGTGAGCAGAGATCGCGCCACTGCACTCCAGCCTGAGCGAAAGAGCGAGACTCCGTCTCAAAAAAATAAAAAAATAAACCATGAAGTGCCTAATATTCTGAGAAAGAATTTTATTTTTTCCTTTCTCTCTGTCTCTTTCTCTCTCTCTGTCTCTCAGCATTTAATGAGATGAGGCAGCTAGCAACCTCTTTTCCAAGAGGTTGCCATAATTCAGTTATTTGACATTCTTTCTGCTAAGGTATAATTTAAAAATCAACAGTGCACATCTACCCACATGGAAACTTCTTGAGAATTTGGGAACCGACCAAGAACACCTTGTATCCTATCATCTTCTCTCTAGCAGCACTGGAAAGGTACATGCTACCAAAAACCCTTTCATCAGGTTGTTTTACGAGGGAGAAAGGATGCTGTCTAAGGACATGAAAACCATCTGGAAAACCACATAGTTGTCAGTACTATGGAGATGGTAAGCCTTGAGTCTTCAAATAGAGTTTCTTTTTTGGCTTTTACCATCAAAGCCTGATGGTTTGGAATTAGGTTGATATTGCCTTTCAACGTATGATATTTTCTTTGCAATTGCTCAGAACACAGATGTAAAAATTTCTATCATCATTTGAAAATGAATGTCCCACTGGGGAAATTCCATGAGTATGTAAGTAGTTGCTTTGTTACTGATGCACAGCTTATTCCACAGGATTCAGTAATCTTTTTCTGTATAGGACAGCTTAAAAATATTTTAGGCTTTACAGACCATATGATACTATTTACAGATGATGCGGTATTGTTGTGGTCGCTCAACTACAAAAGTAGCCATAGATATGTAAATGCATGAGCATGGTTATGTTCTGACAAAACTTTATTTATAAAAATAAGAAGCATGATTGTGTTCTGATAAAATTTTATTTATAACAAGCAGCAAGTTGAATTTGGCACACAGATCATAATTTGCTAAATCCTGCTCTAGACTATTGTCTAGCTTTTAAGAAAGCTTTGTTGAGGAGAGATAAAATTGATGCCAGTTATTATCTCAATAGATTTAGAATAGCCTGACATACTTTCAGTATTCCCAGGCTCTGTTAGGGTAGGTTAATAACAAGTTGCTATACAAACTAGGTAAATGTGTGTTAAAGTTGTGTGTATTCACTACCCATGCATCTTAACACGATAGTGTCTTAAAAGGATGAGGCAGATTCTGGATTAAGGGATAAAGAGCAACATATAATCAAAAGTTGGAACATGGGCAGAAAAAAACTGGAAATTGGTGCTGATGGTTCTCTACCACTTCTCTCAATAGATATCTCTTCCTTTTCTTTGCCTCTGCTTGTTCTGTTGTTTTCACCTTCGTCACCTCTTTCCTTTATTTTCCCCTATTGTATTCTTCTCTTCCAACAGCATTGCCTCTGTATAAAATCATCATGTAAAAATGTTTCTGGGCATTTTCTTTCTAATAGCTTTATTCTTCTAGTGTTGTCTCCAGCCCCTTGGCAGATACCAGCTATTTGAAATCTCTAATCTGCCTCCCCTTACAAGACAGAGAAAATAACAAATATCTCTCAATTCCCCTTTATACCTCTCCCAAATGTCTCTCCCATGTTTTCCTCATTTTCTCCTGTCTTAAAACAAATATGGATCCCACTCCTCTACAATTTGAATTTTTCCCACAATTCTTTTTTTTTATTATTTATTTATTTTTTTAGATAGAGTCTTCCTCTGTCACCCAGGCTAGAGTACACTGGCACGATCTCGGCTCACCGCAACCTCCATCTCCCGGATTCAAGCGATTCTCCTGCCTCAGCCTCCCAAGTAGCTGGTATCACAGGCACGTGCCACCACTCCCAGCTAATTTTTTTTTTTTTTTTTTTTTTTGTGGAGACGGGGTTTCACCATGTTGGCCAGGCTGTTCTCAAACTCCTCACCTCAGGTAATACATCTGCCTTGGCCTCCCAGAGTGCTGGGATTACAGGCATGAGCCACTGCACTCAGCCTTTTTCCATAATCCTTGATTCCCATCCTTTTAGCCTCCTCTGACATAGACCTTGACAAGCGAATCATTCTTTGTCTTTTTATATGTTCAATTTTCCTATCTCTCTGGCTTCTTTTCCTTAACCCACAATATATTAAGGTCTCCTCTATATTTAAGAAAATTAAAACCGTTGTTGTCACATCTGCACCTTCTGCCTCCTGTCTTAACCCCTTTCCTTCAATCCCTGCTGAGTACCCCCTCTTAGGCCTCTGCTCTCCTTTCTGCTCTCCAGGCGTCTGCCTGGCCCACCACTTTCTCTCTCAATGTTTATCATCTCGGCTCTCATCTGGTGATCCCCAAATCTTCATCCCACTGTGGTGTTTCTCTACAGTTTGGATCTAAGTGTCCAGTTCCACAGCATGTTTCTAAACACAGAGCCTGCTGACATATTGACTCAATATGCCCTAAAATTTAACTAATCAGTTTCCTGCAACTTCTTTGTATCCTCTGTACCTTCAAATCTGTTTTGTTGTTGTTGTTGTTGTTGCTTTGAGAAGAAATCTCACCCTGTTGCCCAGGCTGGAGTGCAGTGACACAGTCTCGGCTCATTGCAACCTCCATCTCCTGGGTTCAAGCAATTCTCCTGCCTCAGCCTCCCAAGAAGCTGAGACTACAGGCGCCTGCCACCATGCCCAGCTAATTTTTGTACTTTTAGTAGAGATGGGGTTTCACCATGTTAGCTAGGATGGTCTCGAACTCCTGACCTTGTCATCTGCCCAAATCAGTCAAGTCTTCCAAGTGTTGTCCATTTCTAGAATTTACCCATTCTCTCTCCTTTAAGCCCTACCAATGCTACTCTAAACTATATCTTCTTTTTTTATCTGGTGTTTAAGAGATTTCTCACTGATTGCTTAATAGTCTTGCTCTTCCAAGACATCATCACACTGTTTCTAGGGTTCATACTATATTATGCACCTCTTCAAAGAAATGAGTGATAGCTTTTCACCCTTTGTAGTGTGAACTAAAATCTGCTTAGTTAGCAAAACTCAGGGCTTTTTCCACTGTACTACATAATTATTCACTCTATCTAATCTCCTTTCACCCATTATTCCAATCACATTGATTGAGTCTGCAAATCTAACACTACATAATCAACCTTTCTAATTGAATATATGCCCCATATCTAATATTAAGAGTTTAGAAAAATATTAAATATAATCCCATATCTCAAAATCTGCTATTTCCCTTTTTAGCATGATGCTGTCCTCCTCTCCTTTTGAATGTGTGTGCACAATTCACCTGCTATTTAATATTCTGATTTTGCAATTATCACAAATATTTCATATTTCCAAATAGGCAGATAATATTATCTTGTTAACTTAGTACAATTCAACAAAGAGTCAGGTAAACCAGTCAATGTGGTGAAAAGCATGCTTGTTCTTTTCTGCTTAGATGTGGCCCATAGCAATGATCATCATCATCTTCATCATCATCATAATTATCACCAGCATTCAGAGAGTCTAGAATTTTTAAAAATATTTTTCTTGTTGGTCCTGTGCTTTCTTTCCGCTGATCTGATACTTTTAAATATTATAATATCTCATGTATATAAACAAAATGATTTTAGGTCTTGTTAAAATTATTTTTTCAAGATAAATTCCTCCCAGAAGCAAGGTTATGTTATCAAAGAACATGAGTAGCTTTGTTACTCATAGATTTTCACACTTCACTTACATTCACTGTCCTGCTCCCTTAGCTTATAATTTCACCCCCACCAACCACCCAAACACAGTCATACACCCTCTCTCTTTCACTCTCCAATTAAAATCTTCTTCACAGACTTGCTCTTATACCTCTTTCTACACAAGGCTTACTATAGTTCCTAATCAGAATCAATTATGCTTTAGCTCGAGCAAACTACTAAGTCTCTCGGGGTCTCCATTAGATTATAATATAAGAATAAAAAGAATACCTACATTATAGAGTTGTTAAGTTATAGATCTCTTGAGAGGGTGCCTGGAAAACAGTGACCATGCATTAGATATTAGCTATTTTTATAATTATGCTAATCCTCCCAAGTACAGTGAGCTCCTTAAATGCAATCAGCATAGGCTCATACTTGTGTCCATCTCACCCCATCTTACACAATGTCTTCCACTGAGTAAGTGGCATGGAAACGGCCATGCTCACCAATGTTCAGCTTCACTGCTTCTTACTCAGCATATTCCTAGGCAGTGATGTGCTCAGTCAGCACCATGCTCGCTTGTGAGAGCAGACTGTGTACATCCCTTCCCAATTCCATCCACATTTAGCAATACCCCATTTTTATCTGGTCTTTTTTCAAGAGATTTCTCACTGGTGTCCTAATTTAATAGTCTTACTTTTCCAAGACATCATCACAAGCTTGAACCTGGCCATGGCGGGAGTTATTGACGCTGTGGAAAATGGCAAATCCCATGGATCAGAGATTTTTTTTTTCCCCTCTGGAAACCCAACTGTCAAACTTTTACCAGCATACCTATGCTTCTAGGATACATTCCACCCCTTCTCTTACATCTGATTGTTTCTGTATGAACACTGCTCAGCAACAGAATGTAAGTAGAAGTAGCATGTGTCACTTTCAGGAAACAACAACTTGGAACAAGTATGCCTTTGCCATATTCGATCTCTCCTTTTTTTTTTCAGTCACTACAGAGGATTCAGTTGCAATCTTAAAAAAAAAAAAATGGAGCTACTAGATAAAGGTTCCTGGATCCCTGAATTACTCTGTGGAACAGAGAACCTCTTCAGACCTTCATGGGATTGTTACGTAATTCAGAAATAAGGCTTTATTGTGTTAAGCTACTGAGATATTGGGGTAGCTATTATACCAATTAATCTACCACAATACTGTAAGGAGCCCATAACATTGAGACAAGAAAGTAGTCATTAGGTCAAATAAGCACAAGTTGGCCCTCAATGACCAGTATAAGACTGTTTAGCTAAATAGCTTAATTTTCCCTAATTGGCTAGCATAGAAAAAAACATAGCCCAGTAAACCTAAATAAATTCCTCCTGTGGCATTGTGCAACCAACTACCTCTGGTATCAGCTAGCAGGCTTGAATCAATGGGCAACTGTAAATGAAACTGCATGTAACTAATTCTATAATTTCAAGTTATTCAGTGTAATTCCACTAAAATTGCATTATAAATTTTGGGCATTATGAAGGATTTAAAATTAAAGAAAACAGGTTTGAATAAAACCTCATTATTAAATTACATTTGAGTGGCAGCCACCATTATTGCAAAGCGTAGACTCTAAACATATTATTAGCATCAAAAAATGTTTGTTTTGTATCTTTGTATTAATGGGAAAATGCAGTAAACATAAGTAGAAGATTTTCTATTTGGGGGAAATTCTCAAAAACAAAAAAGGATAAATTAGTAGTACCTTAATGGAGGTAAGCTTTCTCTCTTGGCATCTATCAAGCACTTCTTGCCCCACTGTCAGTATGATCAGCTCTACCCAGCAGAGACTCCAAAAGAATAGAGAGTCTCAAGAAAAATAAAACTGCCTTCTTCTGGTCTGGAACATTGGGTGCTTTCACATTGATCTTTTGTTAGTGGCTTTTTAAAATTTCTTTCTTTTTTTAAATATAAAAAGGTAAGAATGCTGATTAACTATGTGGGTGACAGATATTTGAAAAGACTTCATTCCAATAACTCATCAGCTTTAGTGTTTTAAGGCATTGCAGAAAAAAAAATGGATAAAAGAGGGGTAAATACCAGTGGTTATACCCGCATGTCCTCCTGGTGATGAGAGCAGTTGCAGTGAAAGCCAGCCAAGCCCACAGGGAAAATACCAGGTTGATTTGAACATGGCACAAAGTTGAGTTCCAGAAATCAATTCCTAACTCCCTAGTAATTCAAAAATTGGAGGCTGCCTGTGTGTAGAGAATGATGTGGTATCCCTCCCTCCCAAAGATATGACATTCCCTTTTCTAAAACCCATGAGGTAGGTGCTCTCTTGGGAAACTTTTGGAAACATAATGTTATGCTATGGGTAGAAAGGAGACATGGACTACTATTCCTGAGCATGTGGAAGAACTATATTCTATATAGTGCATGAAATAGCAGTTTGGGCAGCGCCATCTAAGGCTAAATTGATCCATATGATTGGAATTTTGCCCAGACCCTTTAACCAAAGGGGGGGAAAAAGGCATCATTTTGAAATTAGCATTATCAATACGGTAATACATTTTGAATGCTAGTTTGGCCTGACATAGGAAGTGATGTAATAAGGGAGAGCTTACTGCCCCTGCCCCTTGAACAGGAAATATTTTCCTTGAGGAATAGAATACTTGAAAACTGCAGATTGCATTTTAATATTAACCAGATTTCTACATTAAACATGATTTCCGAGAACAATTTGATTTTTCTTTTTTTTCCTCTCTCTTTACCCCCACTGCACCCCTCAAGCAAGTGATCAGAACTGCACTCAACCACAGCCAGCTCCTGGAATGGACCCAGGGCTGCCTGCAATTTAAATGTCAAACTTGGTGCCATTGAGTGGTGGAGAATCACTCAGCAACATGTGTCACTCATTGCTGCCCTGCCAATCCTTATTGTTTCTTGCTGCTTTCAGATTGCTACAAATTCTCTCCCGGTTTCCTTGATTATCTCCAAGTGTGAAAATTTAAATCTTGTTTCTTCTTCACTCTGTTTAAGATGTGTAAGCGTAATCACCTTCTAGAACAACCAAGGAACAACAAGAAAATTACCAAACCTGTCTTATATTTTGAAAGGCACAGAATGGAATTTTTTTAAGCTCCTAGAACTAGTTTCTGTAACTAACTGCAGAGTTGAAAACCCTTTTAACTGGCTAAACATACCTATCCCCAGTGGACATATACACAAGAATACTAAGCTACCAAAAATGGCCTCTCTCAGGGCAGACTTGACAGCAGTGACAACCCCTGATTGGTTAATGGAAGCACTTCAGGATTTATCAGTTGTGATTGCTTTAGTCTTTGGCAGCCGGTAAAATCATAAAATAAAGACGATTTAACCACAGTTGTTCAGGGACAGGGGAGGTGGTTGAAGCAGGGCTACAAGTAATGTGCTGTCATTCTTGATTGGTAGAAAGCAGATGGTTGTGAAATGGGGGCCACAAAGGAGGATGAATAAGGAGACCAAGAATATAGAATTGCAAGGCAATAAACCCAAAGCATGGGTACTGGATTCACGCAATGGCATTCATGAGGTTGATAATTACAGCCTTATAAGATAATGCAGGATATATGGTAAGCAATGGTTATAAACAGAGTTTATATGGCTTTGCATAGGTAAATAAGAATTTCTACTAAATGGGAAAAGTAAGGAATTAGGAAAACAAAAAGTAACCGTGAAGTCACTCTGAGCATCTAGGAATATACCACACCCCCAAAAAAGCAATGTCATAAGCAAAGGAACACATACAGCAAAACTGTTAGTATGTCCTCACTGTCATAAAAGTGAGGAGCACTTTTATGTGCTCCTCAATAAAAGTCACAAATGGGGCAGAAAGCAGTCATGCACAGTAGGTGGCATTCACCTGAAAATGACATTACCTTCTCCCTGCAGTGAGAGTTCATTTCTTCAGCAGAGAGAAATGTTTTAGACAAGACCTCTAGCTCTTGGGCATTAGAGGTTCTTGAGAGAAAAATAGCACAGTTATTAACTCTTTATCTCAATGCAGCATAAGTGTCTCAGAGCCATATCATCTCCTTCTCTATATTCACATCCTCAATCTGGCTTTATGAAGGAAGGAAGAAATCTAACATTTATAGAAAACCTACTATGTATTAGACTGTTTATTCTATATATTAAATTTTATTACATCTTATATCCAACAACCCTCTGAAATAGACATTGTCTCAACTTACAAAATGAGTAAACAGGCAGTTTATCTTCTAAGATCACAAGGCACAAGATATGTGTGTGACGTATTCAATCACAGAAGCAGAATTTGAACTTAAGATTGCCTCAAAGATGTGTGCCCTTTTCATCATATCACATCTGCTACTCACAGGAGTCAGTTCTCAGTTTGAGCTGATATCTGGCGTTATCAGTGAATAGCACTGGGCATCTGTGATTTATTTTTCTCAGCTTTTTCTCATTGTACTGATCCAATATCCAGAATGAGTCTTTTGCCCCAATATTCCTCCTTTAATCACTCCAGTGTCTGGGCCTGCAGTCAAAGTCTTCTGCTGATCCCCTGGTCCACTTGACTGAAGACCTGCCTGTCTATAACACAGCATCATCCTAAGACCTTCATTCTTTCTTCTATGCTAGTAGTTTCTGCAAAGTAGAGCTAAACCTTCAGGATGACTGCTTCTTGCCTGACTCTTCCACTAATTTGTTTACTCCCATATACTGAACCCACTCCTTCACAAACACACCCAATTTGGAAGACATTTTCCTAATTCTAGAAGCAGTGGGTACCTGTAGATGATGTTCTATTAGAGCTTCTATAAGAACTGCAAAACACCTAAAAGTGTTTTTAGTGGTTTTACTTTCAACTAGGAAAACACCTGAAGCAAAACTGATGGAACAAAGGCGGAAAAAGACAAGTTTATAGTTATAAAGATTTCAGTGTTCCCATTAATTGGTAAGATAAATAGATGGAAATTCAGTTGGTTACAACATTATCAATAAATGTCATTAATATCTACAGAGAAATAAATTTCAAACCCACAGAGTACAAACTCTACAAGTCCACACGAACCAGTCACCAAGATAAACCATATGATTGGCTCTAAAATAAGTCTCAATAGATTAACAAAGATTAAAATCAAACAAAGCATATTTCCCAACTACAACTGTAATTAAATTAGGAAATAATAATAGAAATATTTCTGCAAAATATTCAAATATTTAGGAATTAAAGAACATGTTTCTAAGTAACTCATGGATGAAGAAAAATTACTGGCTATAGTAAACATTTCTGATTAAGTGAACATGAAAACACAACATAAAAATCCATGAGATACAGCAAAAGAAATGCTTAGAATGAAACATGTAGTTTTAAGTGCACCTATTATAAAAGAAGAAAGGTCCAAAATCCATGATACACACATCACCTTAAGAATCTTAAAAGAATAAGAAAAACAAGAGGACAAAATATAAGTTGCAGAAATAATAATCAGAAAGAAAAATCAATGAAAGCGTAGCAAGGTAATTTTTAAACATGAATAAAATTGATAAACTTATGCCTTAACCGATCACTAAAGATTAACGAAATCAGGATTAAGAGAGGGAACATCACTGTGTTACATATACTTTAGATATTAAAAGATAATAAAAAGTATAATAAAGAATCATACTAACGAATGTGAATATTTAGATGTAACAGACAGGTACTTTGAAAATCAAATTGGCCAAAACTGATGAAAGAAGAAACAGACAGCGTAAATAATCTTCTGTCTGTCAAAGAAACTGAATCTGTAATTACATATCTTCCCCAAAAAAGGATTCAAGTCCCATAATGTCTTTGGGGTGAATTCTATCAAGGATAGAACTGTTATTGTTTCTCACTGCATTTAGGAATAAAGTAATCCTATGCACATTTTTTTTAGGATAAAAATGAGAAAGCAACATTCTTCAACACTTTTTGCAGATTTTGCACTGATAGCAAAACCATAAAAGACATTGCAAGAAAGATTTGTAGATCAATATTACTCATGAATGTAGAAACAAAAGTTCCAAATAAAATTTTAGCAAATTAAATTAAGAAATATTTAAACTTGATGATGTACCACCATCAAAAGGTATTATTATCCCAACAATGTAAAATTGGTTTAATTTTCAAAAATCAGTTGATATGCTTCACCACGTTAGTAAAATAAAAGGAAAAAAAAAAACCTATGACCAACTCAGTAGATACAGAAAATAAATTTGACAAAATTAAACATTCATTTGTGATAAACACTTATAGTACATTAGGAATAAATAGTATATTTCTCAATTTTATGAGGGCACCTACAGAAAATCTTTAGTTGATATCAAACTTACTGGTAAAAGACTCACAGCTTTTTATCTAAAATCAGAAACAATGCAAATATGTCCATTTTAACGACCTCTATTCAACATTGTATTCCAATTCCTGCCCAATGCAATAAGACGGGAAAAAATAGCATACAGACTGGAAAAAAAGCGACAACACACTCTTCACTGATGACATGATCACAAACACAGAACTCCCAAAGATAACCTACAATAAAGCTATATGAACTTAATAAGTGTCTTTATCAGAGTCATAATATATAAGGGTAATATAAGAAATTTCTATGAAAACTGCAGGAATGTTTCATACAGCTATTTTTCACATACTTTGAATGACGGACTATGAGATGCTGGAAAATTCACTTTAGGGAGAATCAAGATATCTAGATAAATACAAATTACGAAAGACATCCTCTCTTAATGAGAATTGAGCCCGCTCCACAATGTACATCACTTGAAACCAAACTCTCTCTCTCTCTCTCTCTATATATATATGTATGTGTATATATATGTATGTATATATGTATATATACATATATATATCTTATAGTGAAGTTAAAACTAAGATATAATGATGAGCCAAAGTTATTACCAATTATGAAAGGTAATATCATTTTCAGGTTGCTGAAATGGAATTCCAGCATATAAGACATTAATTGCCAATCAGAAGAGAGATGCCATATATATAAAGAAGCTCTGGACAGAAGATTAATACCAGGAGCATCGAATCACTTCTTAAGCTAAGGCATCTAACTTCACTTTAGCACCTGTAATTTGTCATTATTATTTAGCCATGAAATGAAAAGGTGAGCCAAATGGTATGTGCCTTCCAGTGGTAAGTTTATGTTGGAATGAGATATTGGGCCACCGGAGCTGCTAAAATATGTTTTAATGAATTCATAAAGAAAATCCAGACACTTAAAAAAATAACAAGGCCTACAACAGTGTATTTCAACAGGTTTGCTAAAGGGGAATCAATATTTTTCCTTGAGCCTTACTTCCTCTGATTCTGTATTGCAAATATAGACATTGTAAAATGAAGAGATCATTGGTTCCATCTTAAATACTAATGAGTCAAAGGCCAGAGTTTTAAATTTAAGGCCTAGATTTGTGATAGAGCTGCTTCTCATACAGGCGACTTTACCTCATACATTCCAGATTGTGCATCAACAGGAATTATTTTTCATATGCTCCCTAAGTAAATAGAATGACAAATATACACAAAAACTTTGTCACAAAGTTAAAGAATTATCACAGCTCTGAATAAATTACTATAATCACATAAAATTATTATAACTGCAAAGATGTATTTTTTTATTAAACTTCATGTGACAATGGTTAATGATTGTCCTGAAAAAAAATGCTAGGTGATACAGCTACTAATAATATTAATAACAGTCTACACTTTACTTTTACCATGTTTACTATGGACAGTATTCTTTGTTACAATGCATCCAATCCTCCTAACAGCCCCAGGAAGAATGTATTATTATTTTCTCCATTTTGGAGGTGAGATAATCAAGGTACAGACAGTTTAAATTGTTGCCAAGGTCATTTAGCTAGTAAATGGCATGGTTTCTTTTCATAAGCATGTTTGTCAGGGTTGAGATTTATAAACAAGTGTGTCATACTCTAAAGACCGAGCTGTTAAACACTATGATATTCTGTATTACAAACCAAAAAAAAGTAAAAGTATCTAGAAAAACCAGACATTCTGTAGTTTTTCTCCCACCCTGAAAAGCTTTGTGCACAAAATATAATAAGGTATTGTGGAAATATGAAATTAATCATAAGTAATTGTTTAATCTTTTAGTTATTAGAATTTGCCATTTAAGAACCAAAGGCTACCACATAAACAAGTGACATAATTTTACCAAAATAGTCACATAGAAAACAAAGTTAAAAAAAATAAGAGAACTAAATAATAGTCCATATCGTTGAAGTAATTAGAATGATCAACTCTATTAAAGTCTATGTGAAAACACACAGACACAAACACACACACACACATACACACTATCCTTTCTTGTAATTTTTTGAGTTGGTATACCAGAATTTCAAATAACTAAGCTTTTATACATCACTGAATTCTAATCAAGGAATAAAAAGGTTCTAAAAATCGCCTTGAGGAAGTGAAAACCAAACAGCTTCTAAACACATTTAGCAGTGAGAAAAGCGGCTTTCATGGTGAAAACAGTATTGGGGTGAATATGCAGGAAAAAAAATCAGCTAATGGCTAACTGCCGCAAAGACTAATAATTCCTGCAGAATTATGGAGAAAAAGCTGAAAGGATCTCTGAAGATATCTGAATTCCTCCCTCCCTTCTCCATAGTACCAGGGATCCTTAATCCAAACCATTCTAGATAGAAGGGTCTCTTCTTTATTTTAAGGAAATATCCAGAGTCTCCAATTTCAAAATTGCCCTCACTCACATATTTCGTATATTTCCTCCGGCTTTTGTAAATCTCTCTCTTTCTATTAAGTAAATCTAACTTTCCCATTTGAGTACTGGGTTTGGAGAATGAGTATTATGTAAGCCTTCTCTTTTTCCCTATCCAAGAAAATATTCAGAGACAAACAAAGTTCCAACAGAGCGCCAGAGAAATAGCTCTACATCTTGCTATATATGTTGCTACATCTTGCTATATATCTGGAGATCCTTGTCCACCACCTTTTCCTACCCATATCAACTCTCAAACAAAAAAACATGTTTGAGCACACAAATACACACACACACACACACAGGCCTTCCTCAAGGAGCTTTCACCCAACATACATTCTGGGATCATTCCATTCTAAGCTAGTCCCATTTTCTTTCCCAAGTGTGATCTTTGAAACACAGAGCACATTTTTCATATTTATATATGGTACTTACTAAATATATAGATTCCATGGTTCCTTTACAGGCCTATAGAAACAGAATGTGTAGGGCTTGAACCCTGGAATCTGTATTTTTTTTTTTTGAGACAGGGTTGTGGAGTCCTAAGGAGTTAAAAGAAAACTGAAAAATGGACTTAGCTGGCAGGGACAGAAACAGGGATAGAGGGGAACAAATGTTCCAAGAAATGGGGTCAACTGCAAATGGCTCACATGCACGCAAGCATTCTGTCTGCAAGCATTCAGCCTAAGCAGCACGATCTTCTAAAATTCTCCTCCAGCCCCTGCCTCTTGGCAGACAGCCTTCTTTCCGCTGTCTTGCCCGTTGCTTCCTTGCAATGTCTCTCTCCCTTTCCTCTAAATAAATCTGCTTTTCTAAACTCACTATTGTCTTGGCAAATTCCTTTACTATCCTTGTGCCAGCCTCAGACAGTCATTGACCACGACAAGGGTCTCTATTGCCCAGGCTGGAGTGCAGTGGTGTGATCATGGCTTACTGCAGCCTCTACCTCCTGGGGCTCAAGCAATCCTCCCACCTCAGCCTCCTGAGTAGCTGAGACTACAGACATGTGCCACCATGCCCAGCAAACTTTTTTTAAAATATTTTTTGTTGAGACAGGGTTTGCCCAGGCTGGTCTCAAACTCCCGAGTTCAAGTGATCTGCCCACCTCGGGCTCCCAAAATGTGGGGTTTACAGGCATGAGCCACCATGCCTGGCTGGAATCTGCAATTTTAAAACAAGCTCTTTCTGCAATTCTTACAAAAATTAAACCCTGAGAGATCCCAAGTGAGCTTAACATCAGGCGTCAAAGGCTCTAGTTTAGAAAGGCTATTCTTGCTTTCTGGCAGGAAACTAAGGTGCTCAGACAACTGAGTGCCTTTAGTGAACGGTCCCCCACTGTTCAAATAATGCCAGGGTCTCAATCAAGAGCAAGGTTCAAAGATACCTAAAATTGCCAAGATATGCACCCTTTATTAATCAGCTATGTATTAAAAGTGAATGATGCTCTCTCACTGAATACTCTGGTTCACCCAAAACGCCAAAATGCCAATGAATATCTCAGGAAAGAAGATAGCTCTTTTTTGAGGTTCTCCTGGCTCCCCTTGACTTTGTGGAATTTCCATCTGAACATAACATGTATTTTTGTTAATAATAATGAGGAAGTCCCTGAAACTTTTGATTCTATGTCATCTTTAAAGGAAACATTTGGCTTTCATTAGTATTTAAGCATAGTAATGCAAAGGATAATATACATGAATTGGCTTAACTATTGGACATCTCTGTCAATTCTTAGCATACTAAAAATGCGAAAGGATTTATCTTATTGGTTTTCATATTCTTCAATACGCCTTATTATTTTTGTGACTTTTCTTGAACTTACAGACTTGATACAAAAACATCTCCCAGCATGTAGAAATTTTATCATTTGGGGGAAAATATATTTTAATATATCTCCAGTGTTATGCAAATCCTATAGTTGGGGCATTGAATAATTACATCTATCCATACTTTTTTTTTTTTGAGGCGGAGTCTCGCTCTGTTGCCCAGACTGGAGTGAAGTGGCACGATCTCAGCTCACTGCAACCTCCACCTCTCTGTTTCAAGCAATTCTCCTGCCTCAGCCTTCTGAGTAGCTGGAATCACAGGCACCGACCACCACGCCCAGCTGATTTTTGAATTTTTAGTAGAGAAGGGGTTTCACCATGTTGGCCAGGCTGGTCTCGAACTCCTGACCTCAGGTGATCCGCCTGCCTAGGCCTCCCAAAGTGCTGGAATCACAGGCGTGAGCCACCATGCCCAGCCTCTATCCATATTTTTTTTTAACCAAATTGCAAGGTATTGATCATATTATCTAAACTACATTAGAACAATGGCACATGTCCAAAAAAGATAAAGTAGTGTCATTTTCCCCCTTTATATGAACATTTGTATAAACTTTACCAAATGCAAATTAATCTATAGTGACTTTACATGTTTTAAATGTAAAGTCTCTTTCTCTGAAAGAGAGTGGGGGATAGGGATGAGTGGGTAAATAGGTGGTTGCATTGGAATTGAGTATAAAAAAGCACAAGTTTGGGAGTAATAGAAACATTGATTATTTTGATTGTTGATGGTTTCACAGGTGTCCGAACTAAATAAAATGTACAAATTAAATACATGTAGTTTATTTCCTCAATAAAGTTGTACAAAAGATGGATGGAAAGCTATGTAAAGTATCATTTACAAGCTAAATCAAACAAGGATGGGTTGATTACAAATTTGTCTTTTTTGCATATCTTTTTCCCCACTGGAATCAGAGTACTTGCTCTTATGTCAAAAGGTCATCTCTTATTACAAATATCAAGTATGTTTCAAAGTATGCAAGTCATTCAAACAGCAGAAGTGGGAAAGAAAGAATCCATCTAACAGATAGTGTAGGGAAAGTATCTACAGGGTTTTAATCTAACTTTACAAAAATAAACAAAGACTGCACGTATGTTTTGAGCCTTGGTTTCTGGTAGAAAGGTAGTGCTAATTATAAAATTAGGGATTTGGAGGAGATTTTGGTTGAGTTTGGATTTAAAATATGTAAAGTCTGCAGAGTCAGTACGACGTGTATGAAAGCAGTTGGAAATGTGAAACTGTAATAGAGGGCAGCTGTTCCCATTCCTGCTCTTCTATTTAATATTTTCATATCTGTTTAGAGTAGCGCTGTCCAACAGAATATTCTGCAATAGTGCAAATGTTCTATCTCTATACTATCCAGTAGGATAGTCACTAGTGACTGTGACTATTGAACATTTGAAATGTGCCTGGTTAATAAATAAACTTTAATTCAAATTAGTTTAAATTCAGTAGCCACATATGGCTAGCGGCTACCATATTAGACAGCATAGATTTGGAAAATCATGACCCATTCAAAATCCCAATCTAGGAACTTCAGATAAACCAATCTAACTCATTTTTAAATTTTCCATTAGTTCTTTATTGAATAAATATTAAATGCTTATATTGTTTTGTGTATTACTGTATTCCCACCATTTAGCACAAATAAGGTCTTGCCGTCATGAAAGTTTTGTTCCACTCTGTCCCATTGGTCACCAAATCAAATTCCAGAAGTTGGAACTTCTTTCAACTTTACCTTCCTCATCTCTGCTACTTTTAATAAAGTCACAAGGTCATTAAAATTCATCCAAAAGGGGGAAATAACCTAAACATTTTGTTTTAGTTGTTGTTGTTGCTTGGTTTTGGTAGTGCAAAATGGAAATAAACGTTGCATTTCAACCAGTTATTGTGATGCCATGTTAGAATCCCTAAAACTAAAATACTAAGTATTGGTTTCTCAAGCAGAAGTTATGAAATGTTGAAGGCATCATGTCACATGATGTCTCCCTCTTTTCCACTGCCAAAGATCTGCTGATAGTAAGTATTGGTTGAAATACACTGCAAAATTTGATTCAGCCATCTGATTGTTCATGCTGATATATGTGCATTGGTTTTATGTATGTCTGTATTTAGGTATGTCTGTGTGTTGCTGTAGTCTATAGTGAAACAAGTATTTTTACCCAGGTATAAAAACAAACCAGTCGGGGTGGCTCTTGCCTATTATCCCAATACTTTGAGAGGCCAAGATGAGAGAATAGCTTGAGCCCAGGAGTCTGAGACCAACCTGGGCAAAATACTAAGATCCTATCTCTACAAAACATTTAAAAATTAACCGGGTGTGGTGGGCGCATGTCTGTAGTTCCAGTTACTTAGGAGGCTGAGGTGAGAGGATCGCTTGAGCCCCTGGGGTTGAGGCTGCAGTGAGCTATGATGGTGCCACTCCTCTCTAGCCTGGGCGACAGGGTGAGAACCTTTCTCTACAAAATAAATAAATAATAAAAATAAATAAAAGATAAAGACATCCTCTTACAAAGGGGAAAAACACGTTTATTTGAAGTGGCCCAAATATTCAAATACTTAGTGAAATTGTCCATTATATATATCTGAAGTTCTGAGCAACAACGTGAGCGGTGTACGTTTTTCCTGTGCAAACTAAGTAGCATACCTTCTGAAATGTTTTTCAGTAGAGATTTCCTTAATTGGTCATAAAGCCTTTGTAAGCGGACTGAAACTTTTTAATTAGCAAAGAATGGTTTCAAGTCATGGGTGAGGGGGGGAAAGAAACTTGTCAAAGACTTTATCATGTGATCACAAATCTATCCAGAACTGTAAATTTGTCAGAGAAACCCACTGAGTGACCCTGAGGGAAACCAAGTACATTTATGAAGGAAACATCAACCCCATACGAGTGTCAAAAGGATAGGAAATCAATATCTGCAAAGTCTTTAGACTGTCAAAAAGACATACTTTTGCCTTCGTTGGCTCTGACTCCTTGGGATACCCAAAGGAATTATTAGAGACTCTGAACAGCAAGCCTCATTACCATAGATGTAATAAAGCTTATTTTCTGCCGACTTCTTGGTTATCACTATTTAAAAGTGGTGAAATGCTGATAGTCCCAATATTCTCATGAAACGTGGAGTAGCTAAATCTAATTATTGAGTCTAAAATTGCTAACTTCCTAGCAAACCCAACAGGAATTACATGAATGACTATTTTCATGCTTTTAACGAAAAGCAAATTGTTATATTAAAAAAATTGTTATAGTTTAAAGGAATAGGAGAAAAGATATTTCTGACCTAACACTATTGAAATAACATCTAAATAATTTATCCTGATAGGTTGCAAATAAAAATACCATAATGTTCTGTAGCACTGAATTAGCTTAGCATGTGGCTATGTGTGTAGTACATCAACCAGTATTTGACTATGCCTTTTGTAATACAGGGAACAAAGTAAGAAAGAACACCAGTCATCTGGAAGAAATACAGGATCCTCAGGAAACACTGAGAAGATGACCTTGCCGTGCCTATCTTCAGATTCCAAGACTCGAGTTACTTTATCATTATCTATCCCAAATCCTGGACACAAAGGGAAGGCACAAAGTAATCTGCCTTTCCAGAATCCAAAGGGATTCTATTGCTCTATCACCAGGGTGCTTTAATTTCCATCATGAACAAATGGTGCTTTGAAAGACTGCACATCTAATTTGTTGACTGTTTTCATTAGTGTGGTTTTCTTGGTAACCAACATGGGAGAAGTAGTTGTTTGGGCCTCCGAGACTGTGACTAAGGCAGCTCATAACAAAAGATGGCTCTATGCAGAGATTTTGTTGTTGTTTTCATTTCTATAAAAATAGTTTCTCTCAATAGCTGCATTGGATGGACTTTTTGTCATAGTTTAATTTTCCCAGTCTTCCCTATTTATAAGAACGTCCTGGAATGACTGCTAAGTACAGATCACCAGACCCTGCCCTGCAGATTCTGACCCCTAAGGAGGGTCTGGGATTCCGAATTTTTAGCGAGTGTCCCTTGTCTGAGAAACATTGCCCTGGGTCACCGTCCTGCTGCAATCAACTATCCAAAGCAAATGTTGCTGCCAAACGATAGAACTTGGATCTCAGCAAGTTCACGAAATCCTGATAGCATCTTAGTTCCTCTCACCTTCTTTCCAACTTTCATGGTCTTTAAGAGATGTTTATAGAAAGTTGTCCGTCTAGCTGTCGTTACAATAGGAAGCTGGAGAAACTTGTACCATGGTCTGTTAAAGTTGTCCTTCTCATTTAGAATTATATTCCATACTTCTGACAGACGGCTTCAGAAACAGCCTGATCATCTTCTAACTATTTTAACATTGACTTGGCTTCTGTTGTTCAGGAACCAGACTCCAAGGTGGAGATGTGCATGCACTAAGTTTATTGGAGAGCTCCTGGGATATCTTTGAAGGAATGAGAGGAGCAGGAACAGAAGAAAATGCTGAACAGCAAGCATTGCAACAAAGGCATCAGCTGATCTCAAAGAGAGCTGTGGGACAGGAAGGCCCTTCAGAATTGTCCCCAGCTCTGCCAAGATGGCTACGTCTTTATTCTTCCCTACTGATGTTTTCTTGGATGCAGGCTCCCCTTGGGGTATGACCTTGGGCAAGGCAGTTATCTTCTTCAGAGAGCCATCCTCAGAGGGAATTCAATCATGATCCATCAGCAGTCAACTCCAGCTGGGAAACAAATTAGTTCTGAATGTTGTGAAGACAAGATCTGGGACATGCATCACAATGTCTATTACAAAAATTGGCTATTGGGTATCGAGTCCAATCGTGCTCACCTTCATTCATATCTGGTTGCTCTATGTTTCAATAAGAAAACAAATAATCTTGGGGCCATGATCACCTTTGAGAAACCTAGGACACCCTAAACACTTTAAGACAGATGATTTAACACATTTTCAATGCACAATAAGAAGGAGGGTCAACATATTGTAGCACTAAGATGTCAGGTTTCATTAGAGTTAGTTGTTTCAGGAAAGCAAAGGGAAATAAAACACAGAGAAACACTAACAAAGACTCATATTACCAGCCTCTTAAATACACTGACCGTATATTGGTATTTTATATTGAAAAAAAAGGAAATGTGCATTTTGTGTATTTCAGTGTATCAATACTCTCATCCACTAAGGCCTCTCATCAACCATTTAGTGGTCAGACAATCCCACAAATGAGAAGTCCAACCAAGCTCACTTCTGGAGTTCTTATGAATTTCAGGTGCTGTGTGCTGGCCTTTCATAGTGAACACGTCACAGGGTACTAGGCAAACACAGCACCAGTCTACTGCTAAATTGTCTGAATCTCACATTTTCAACTGGAGAAAATCATGCTTAATTCAAGTGTCAACAGAGGTCTTGTTTAACCAAGAAAAGGAAGACAGTGCAATCTGTGCTCCAGTGTTGCCTGTGAAGAACCCAGTGTACGTTTTCTGCTGCCCTTCCTGAAGTGGAAGATCTTTAGAAGTAAACCCTGGCAATTGTGAATGGGAAGTAGGATAAAGCTCATCTACTTGCATGTTCAATTCGAGCGCAGGCAACACTATGAACTTTGAACATATATGGCCATTGTTCTGGTAAATGGTAAATGTTTGATGAGCCAGAACCCAAATCTAAGTCAACATGCCCCCAAAGAGAACAAAGGTCATCAGGCCTTGCTGCTGATTAACTCATGCTAATCACTGATCTGATAAGAGGTCTTGATAATTAATCTCAATGTCAGTTTTCATTTCACTTGGAAATTGCCACTTTCTCTTTATTCTATTTGGGGAAAAAGGGATAGCTCATCTCAGAAGTAGTCTTCTGTCATTCTCATAGTATGTGCTCCTCAACAAAGCATGTTCCTTTTCACACTTTTCTTCCCCACACTAACAAATTTATTCCTCACCACTGGCCTTTCCGTTGACTATTCTCACTTGATCTGAGCATCAGTGGAAAAGGAAGCAAGAGAAGACTATGACCCTGTTCACTGCCCCAGAGCCTTCTTCCCTATCCTACTGCTGCAGTGACACAAATCACATGAGACATGATCAACTTTAATAAATGGTTGCAATAAATAGAAATCACAACTTAGTGCCAATTTTCCCCTGCTATTTTATAAATATATTATAAGGAAAATGTAACCAAGAAGTCACACATTTTGTAGAGTTCTTCATCTACATCCCTGCTTTTGAACTTCTCATACCTATTCATAGGGTCTGAGCATTCTTGTGAAAAATCTTTTTTCTAAACTCTGCTGTGTGTCTTTATGACCACCATTCAAAAGTTTTACCTATGCACTTGAGTTGGTTTTCTCCCAGGGTTCATTCCCACCACTTCACCCAAATTATTTTTACCCAAGACTGAGCTATTTTAACTGGAACAAAAATCAAAAATAACACTCTTGTTTTATAATTGGGGTCAGGAAGGTGAAAGTGGTGGCTCATGCTTGTAATCCCAGCACTTTGGGAGGCTGAGGCAGGTGGATCACATGAGGCCAGGAGTTCGAGACCAGCCTGGCCAACATGGTGAAACCCTGTCTCTACTAAAAATGCAAAAATTAGCCAGGCATGGTGACTGCACGCCTGTAATTCCAGCTCTTCAGGAGGCTGAGGCACAAGAATCACTTGATCCCAGGAGACGGGAGGTTGCAGTGAGCCAAGATCATGCCACTGCACTCCAGCCGGGGTGACAGAGCAAGACTCTGTCTCAAAAAGAAAAGAAATAATTGGGGTCAGGAAAGAAGTCAAAATATACAAAGGAACAGCTATGTTCACCATTGGTTTTCTAAGTCCCAGAAAACAGATGGGGCATGTAGACGGGCTAGACATCCCAAACCTAGAGCAGCAGTCTCAAAGGGCATAGGAACTTCAGGCCACATCCCCTCAAAGTCATCCCATCAGAGTGAATTTCAAAGGCACTTTCTTATTCTTCCTAGGATATATGAACTGAAGTATCCGTATTCATGAATGAACACACACCTACACAGACATCCTATAAGAAGTCATATTAAAAATATATAATTTTCTAATTATTCTATAACTTGCAAGACATTTTCACAGTGGACTTAGGATGTCATAATATTAGGTGTCTTTTCTCAAGCCTCTGCCCTATTTCTCTGCTCCCTTTCAGACGTAAACTCATTAACTTGTTGTATATTTGTGTTGTCTCTTCCCCATCACCTTTTTCACTTTCCTCAATCAACTGCGATTAACTATTATCAATATCACTCTACTAAAATAGCTCTTACTGGGGTCAAGAATAAGACTCGTGTTGCCAAATCTAGTGGCCAACTTTCTGTCCCATTTTACTCAACTTCTGACAGGTTTGGTACCGTTGAGTGGTCTTTCCTTTGACTTCTATGACACCTGATTTTCTATTTCATCAATGTTCTTCTTTACCTCCCTCCTCTTTCTCAACATAAATTTTGTCCACTGTTATTTTCTCTATGTATTTCCTCACTAGGTGATTTTATACAATCCTGTGGCTTAAATTCCCTATGTATGCTTATGACTTCTGTATTAGCATTCCCAGGTCTGAGTTGTCTGCCCTCTGTACAATTAACACCAATATGTGAATGTGTGAGAGGCATCCAGGAAGCTTCCTACTTTAACCTGACCAAAACTTATGCTTTTTTCCCCTCTGCATCTGCCCTTTTCCCAGTCATTCCTATTAGTAGTGCAGATCACAGTCCACTCAATTTAATCAAGTAACAAGTCTGCATATTACCCTTGATTCCTCTCTTATTTCTTATCTCATATCAAGTCCATTAATGAAACATATTTTCCAAACTTCAAAATACAGCCCAACTCAGCTAATCACATCCAGCACTAGAATTCTCAGGATTTTCTTACTTGTGTTACCACAAGACTCCAACTTATATTTTGCCTTCACTCTTACCTACAATTCTTTTCCTACAAAGAGCCAAAATTACATTTTAAGAACAAGAACCAGATCAAGTCACTCCCTTGTTCAAGACCCTTCAAAAGCTTCCATACTATTTAAAACAAAATCCAAATTCCCTCCCCTGACCTCAAAGGCCATATATGATCAACCTCATTTCTCTTCAATTCTATCCTGCCTGACTCTGAAGCAGGCATGGCTGTCTTCCTGTTCCTCGAACTTACCAGTGGTTTATTCTTGCATCAGATCTTTTCTTTTTTTTTAATTTCCATAGGTTTTTGAGGAACAGGTGGTGTTTGGTCACACGAGCACATTCTTTCGTGGTGATTTGTGAGATTTTGGTGAACCCATCACCCGAACAGTACACATTGTACCCAATTTGTAGTCTTTTATCCCTCACTTTCTTCCCACCCTTTCCCCGGTGTCCCCAAAGTCCATTGTATTATTTTTATGCCTTTGAATCCTCATAGCTTAGCTCCCACTTATGAGTGAGAACATACGATGTTTGGTTTTTCATTCCTGAGTTACTTCACTCAGAATACTGGTCTCCAATTCCACCCAGGTTGCTATGAATATCATTTCATGCCTTTTTATGGCTGAATAGTATTCCATGGTATATATTATATATATATATATATATATAATATACTATAGAATATATAACTTATTCTATATAAAATATATTTAATATATTTATATATTATATTATATAATTATATTTATATATATTATACATATAATTTTAAATATATTTTATATATAATTTTAAATATCTTTTACATACATATTAAAATATGTTTTTAATATATAAATAAATTATATATTAAACTATATAATACATATTTAATATATTTATATAATAGATATATGATATATGATATATAATATATATTATATACTGCAATTGTATAATATATAATATTATATAAAATATAATATGATATATGTTATATATATATATACCATGGAATACTGTTCAGCCATAAAAAGGCATGAAATGACATTCGTAGCAACCTGGATGGAATTGGAGACCTACGGGGAAAAAAAAAAGATCTGATGCCAGAATAAACACACTAGTAAGTTCGAGGAACCAGAAGACAGTCATGCCTGCTTCAGAGTAAGGCAGGATAGAATTGAAGAGAACACAATTTCTGTATCTGCTTATTGATTGATGGGCATTTGGGCTGGTTCTATACTTTTGCAATTGTGAATTATGCTGCTATAAACATGCGTGTGCAAGTATCTTTTTCCTATAATTACTTCTTTTCCTCTGGGTAGATACCTAGTAGTGGGATTACTGGATCAAATGGTAGTTCTACTTCTGGTTCTTTAAGGAATCTCCACACTGTTTTCCATACTGGCTGTACTAGTTTACATTCTCACCAGCAGTGTAGAAGTGTTCCCTGTTTACCACATCCTCACCAACATCTATTATTTTTTTGATTTTTTGATTATGGCCATTCTTTGCGTCAGATCTTTTGAACTTACTGTGCATTCTGCCTGGAACATTCTTCCTAGATCTTCACATAACTGGTTCTCTCAATACATCAAGCCTGGGCTCTTCTCAGAGAGCCTTTAATCATCCTGTGGAGGTAGCCACCATTCCCACCATCATTCCCAATTACCTTGCTGCACTGTTTTACTACAGCACTTAGAGTACCTGAAATTACCTTCTGTATTCGTTATTTTTGTAAGCTTTATGAAGGCAAGGTCTCTGTGTGTTTTTAATCCTGGAACACAGATCAGTGGCTGGAAAGAATAAACACTCAATATATATTTGTGAAATGAAAGAATTGGTTCCTTTCTCTCATTTCTTCCTCTTCAATTGTGTTCTTTCACTGGTTCCAAGAATCAGGCCTTGATAAACCGTATGACTTTGAAAAAAATCTCTATTCAGAGTAATAAAAAATAAATCTAATTAAACTTTTGAAATTATCCCTTGGTTGGGTTTATTAATGGATAAGCCACCTTTTCTAACAAGCCACTGGGACAATCTTTTTGCTTTCATATTGCTTTTTTTCATCACCAAGCCATGTTATCATTCATTTTAGTGGACAACATGTAGCTACTGTAATAAGCAGCATGTTATTTAGAGTCAAAATGGCCTCAATCATCACTTTCTCTGGAATTCATCCTTGACTTATTCAACCATATTCTGACTACTGAATATGTTTAATATTTTGCTATTCAATTAAAACCAAATTATTACAGCTTTCTAGTTCACTCTAGTTCTCTTATATATTCTAAAAATCCAATTTCATTCCAAAATCAAATTTTATTCCTGAAATAATAGGATATGTTGTAACTTTTCGACAAACTTTGTTGGTAAAATCTGACCTAAATGGATAGAAAGTTATTGATGGTCTAGTCTATTTCACTTAAGGTGCATATTCATATGTATAGTTGCAACATTGCTAAGGTGTTTGATTATGGGTGGTCTCACCCAATTCTCTTCTTCCTGAAAAGTCCCTGTGGCAACAGTTTCTTTGCCCAATAGCAACAGTCGTTACCATTTTACTCTGTGCTTTTTCAGAGATAAGCATTTGGATGCAAATGTGACTAGATATTTTTCTACACAAATGTAGCACATACTATAAACACACACACACAAACATACACACATTTCTGCAACTTTTTTTCACTTAACAATATATCATGGACATCAATAAAAATTAGTTTGCCCAATTATTTTCTTACAGTCTTATTTTACTTATTTTACTATATGAATGTGTCATAATTTATTTAGCCAGTCCCATTTATAGATATTTTAATTATTTTCAATACTTTGCTATTGTAAGTGATGTACCAAACCTCATATCAGACATAGCTGTACAATAATAATTAGAAAAATAGCCCAGGAAAATGGGCAAAGGATATTAAAAGATAATGCACATAAAAGAAAATGCAAATATATTTTCTTACTGATTTCACATTTCTTATAGATTTTATATATTCACAGGAAGTATGAATGTATTACAGAAATTAAGCCTTTGTCTCTGACATGCTTTACAAACATATTTTCCCAATTTTCGACTTGACATTGGACTTTATTTATGGTATTTTTATAAGAAGTTTTTATAATTTTTATGTAATCAAATTGTTGACCTTTTTATATTTTAAATTTTATGAAATTTATATATTAGGAAAGACTTCCCACTCAAAAATAATTGATATAAAATGATTCCATGTTTTATTTTCTATGCTGATACATATCTATTTACATTCAAATTTTGATTTTTGGGTGTCTTTTTGGCTAAGAGGCCTGGTGTGATCCAATTTTCACCCTGGAAGCTACCCAGTATTTATTCCCAATACCATTTATTAAGTAATCTTTTGCTATCGTTTTTTCAGTTTTCTGGGGTTTTTTGCTTGTTTTTCAGTTTTCTTTTCATTATACAAAGTGCTTCAGGGTCCAGAGTGCAACCCGTAAAGAAAATTCTATTTTCTTTTTCATACTGACTGACTCACAGTACAATTTCTATTAAGGCTGGCACCATTTCTGTTATGCTTTGGGTCTGGGGGTACATACTGGGTTGCGTGATGGTGTAGGAGGTGCAAAGGCTGCCACCCCCTTCCCATGGGGCCAGGAGGGGCTCTGTTCATGCTCATTTGCATTTGAGACAACTTGACATTTGAGCATAGGCCAAGTAGCTTCTCTTTCCTCTGCTTCCTTGTACTTATTTTGGGATCTCAAATGTTAGAAAACAGGTAAAATAGTAAAATAAATAAAAATAAATTTTTTGAGGAAGTTATTCTTTCTTTTCATTATAGTTATTTTTAATGTGACTATTGAAGTCTCTGTAATTAAAGCTAATAAACAGTTGTAGTATGTGCATCTTACTTTATATAGCAAGTTATGTTTCTATCTTTAACCAGACATTTTATATTGTTTGATTAAAACTTTCTAGTTGGTAAATTCTATCATGAGGGCATTCATTCAATTAATAAAATCCCTGAGTATTTTCTGTGACAATTTATTCTACTCAAGGATGTGAAAGACTCAAATAAAGGTAAGGTCTCATTTCATCCTAGCTTTCTGGCATAGTTTAGCCAGAATAGACAGTAGCAGAACATATTCTTTGCAGGGGCGGGAAACACCTGTAAAACAAAATAGAATGTGATAAACGTTACCATAAAGATACAAGGAATAGGCCGGGTGTGGTGGCTCATGCCTGTAATCCCAGCACTTTGGGAGGCCAAGGCAGGAGATCACAAGGTCAAGAGATCAAGACCGTCCTGGCTAACATGGTGAAACCCCGTATCTCTACTAAAAATAAAAAATTTAGCTGGGCGTGGTGGCACACACCTGTAGTCCCAGCTACTTGGGAGACTGAGGCAGGAGAATCGCTTGAACCCGAGAGGCAGAGGTTGCAGTGAGCCAAGATGGTGCCACTGCACTCCAGCCTGGTGACAAAGCAAGACACCATCTCAAAAAAAAAAAAAAAATACAAGGAATATCTCTAGTATGTCGAAGGGAGAGAGCAATTCCAAAAGTTTCAGGTAAATGTCATAGAAGCAATGTCACTGGACAAGCCTTTGAAATCCATTTGGCATTTTAACATGTCAAGATAATAACATAAGGACATTCCAAAAAGTGTGAGCTTCATCCAAAAAAGGGTGTGGAAACAAGATGATTGTTCTGACAACAAACTATCAGAAGGTTGTAGGAATGGAAACCAGAAAAGAGAATTAATCCCTCCAAATCTCATACTCCATCTGCCTCAAAACTCTTGATTTTAACTTCCATTTTTATCTTATGCCACTTTGTTCTTCCCCATTGCCAGGTTACTTCCCTAACCCAGAGACTAATCATCTCATTCTTAGATGATTGAAATATGTGGAGCTTGTGGTTCTATGCCTTGGTCTTCACACTGTTCTTATTTCACCAGAATATTATTATATTAAGGCTCTAGAGAAAACCCTTTGGTGGCTCCTTTAATATCTACAGGATATTGTCAAACTGCATTGATATGATGACTAATGTTCTTCATGGTCTCTCTTTATTCTATTATAATTCCACATACACATGTTCATATGTATTAGTCCATTTTCATACTGCTATGAAGAAATACGGGAGACTGGGTAATTTATAAAGAAAAAGAGGTTTAATGGACTCACAGTTGCACATGGCTAGGGAGGCCTCACAATCATGGAAGAACGCAAAGGAGGAGCAAAGGCACATCTTACATGGGGGCAGGCAAGAGTGTGTGTGCAGGGGAACTGTCCTTTATAAAACCATCAGATCTCACGAGACTTATTCACTAACAAGAGAATAGCATGGGAAAAACCCACCCCCATGATTCAATTGCCTCCCACTAGGTCCCTCCCATGACACGTGGGAATTATGAGAGCTACAATTCAAGATGAGATTTGGATGGGGAAACAGCCAAATCATATAATAATCTAACTTAAATAACTCTTTACCATGTGCCCTGAGTTTCGGCTATTGCAGAATACTTTCAATTCCCAACTTTTACCATGGAATGTCACATCCTTATAGTCTCACTTCTTTACACCTGCAAATTTCCTCCTTAACTTTTTCATTCACCTAACACATTTAATAATCTTTCAAAAGCAGTTCAGGTTTGTCATCCTCTGTAAAAACTTTTGTTGACCAAACTAACCCAAAAGAATGACTTTCTCTACAATGCAATCATCTTACCTTATACTTGAATCTATCCATGCACTTTTTCCATGATGTTGCAATATTTATCTTTATGTCACATGGTCTAGTGTAGACTTGGAAAAGTATATAGTAGGTTACGGCCATATTTTTCTAATGTTCTCTGGCTTATCTGTCCACTACGGCCTGCTAACCAGAAAGAATGATACTGAGCTTTCTGGTGGGATGTGATAGAACACATTTTTTTAGTTAGTTACAAATCTGTTATTTCATCGCTTGGGAACTTAGAGACTTATGAGTAAATGTGCAATAAAAAATAGAACAAAGAGAAAAACTCTTCATAAAAATGTGAGAAAAGCACAGTGGTTATAAAAACAGAAGGGTCTTCCACAATTCTGGGATCACTTTTCCTGATAACATTTGTGAAAGGCTAGTTCTATAATACCTTATGTGCCCAGGCATAGTCCTATTGGGTTTTCAATGATTTAGGGGTGTGGGAAACATTGTTGCTTTCTTGATTACTATTTCTAAGCATGGAAACATCAAGAGGGTTAGCTTGAAGCAGGCGGGGATTATAAGGGATAGGATTATTTGACAGGTTCTTTCTCAATGTATTTCTCTTTAAGAAGACTTTAGGGGATTATGCAAAAGGCCATCCTATATATACCCAAATGTCTAAATATTAAAGGGATTCTAGGCAATAGAAGACCTGAGAGTTATAAATCCTACTTTAAAATTTTTTATCAATTTGAAATCCTTAAGACTTAATCAATACATCATTTTACCATTATGTTTGACAGACAACTTTTACAATATAGTTGGGAGTATCCTCCAAGTGTTCATTGTTCCTTTCTCCCTTGCTAGCATAGCCTGATTTTAGTCTGGATGGCAAGTGTGCAAAGGTAGGCATTTTGCCCTAAGGTGGCTCTTCACTCTTGTTCCTAATTAACCAACTCCTTCCCAGCTAGGTGGCCATGTGGTCCAGTGTTCTCAAAGAAACACAATGGGGGCGGAGCGTGGTGGCTCACACCTTTAATCTCAGCACTGTGGGAGGCCAGGGAGGGTGAATCACCTGAAGTCAGGAGTTCGAGACCAGCCTGGCCAACATGGTGAAACCTTGAAAAATACAAAAATTAGCCAGGCGTGGTGGCATGCACCTGTCATCCCAGCTACTTGGGAGACTGAGGCAGGAGAATCACTTGAACCCAGCAGGTGGAGGTTACAGTGAGCCGAGATTGAGCCGCTGCACTCCAGCCTGAGTGAAAGAGCAAGACTCTATCTCAAAAAAAAAAAAAAAGAGAGACATAAGGGGAACTCATTGGTAAAGTTCATGAACTAGTAAGTGGGGCTGATTAACTTGCCCTCTTTCCCTTTGTCTGTATCTTCAGAAGCCATGTTATGACCAAGAGGCAAAAAGAAGGATGTTTTAGTATGGTGGGGCAGAAAAAGGAAAGGAGTGTGGGTGTTTAGTGCTTTTTATGGAGCCACTGGATCAACCCCACTTTCTAGTGATGTGAGAACAAAGCCACTGTTGGTAGGGTATTCTGTGATCTGCAGCTACACACATTCCCTCCAGACAGAACACGCTCAGGGATTAAGAAGAAAGTCTTTCTGAAGAGTTTTCTCTCTGTGCCAATCCTGCAGAACTCTTATGGAAGATAATCTAAAAACAAGGACTTAACTGATTTTTAAACAGATAGATTTGAAGAAGGTCCTTTATAGTTATGGCAAGGCATTAGACAGTAAAAAATGACAGTAATCATTCATGATATATTCAAAACAACAACGTAACAGTTTCTTCGATTACCTCTGTAAATTCTGAAAAGAGAGGTATTTGGGGAATAAGTTGTAAAAAGAATGACCCAGAACTTTGAGACTAAGAAGACTAGTCCTAAGATCCTATGTCTTTGCTCAGAAACACCAAATCTATATGTTTAACTTAAAAGTAGCAAAGCATGGCCATATTTAATCTATATAGCTTATAGAGGTAATCTCAAAAAGAGAGAGTTTTGTTTCTTGTTAGAAAAGTGGAGCTTTTGGCTGGTAAATGTGGTCAGCCAGCCTTCTAAACCATGAATTGAAAGCAATTAGTTTTCAAGTTACAGACTTTTTCCCCCTGCTCTTGAAGGCTTTGCCTTCAAGTTATTTCATCTTAAACAGTTTTAGCGCCCTGAACTGATATTTTGATACCCTGATAATTTGTGGTCTTGCTAAAGACTAACTCTTTGCACAGCCTCCTGGACTTGATTTGTTATTTCAAACTTCCAATTATTTCACACCTTCCTTTGAGACTTTTTCTAATTGGGTTGTATTTTCCCAATTCAAATCAGAACTCACCCAACCCTTGCCTTAATCAAAATCTGAGCCTCTTTTTAAAGATTAAAATTGTACAGTGTTGTTAAATAGATACTGTTTTTACAATCTTCGACATTTCACTGTGTGGGACAAACTAGAATTTTTAAATAGTGGGAAAATATTTTCTTACCCAATCATCAAGCCCCATTTTTGCTTGCATAAAGTCCTCATAAATAGTTTGGGAAATATTTATAGCTTTTAAATGTTTAGCAGACATTGCGATAATTATCTATGAACCAGCAAATGAATTTTATAATTTGTGACTAAGAGTATTTCCAACTTCATCCTTTCCCCAGGTAGGAAAAGTCATATTACTGCCACACAGCATATGACCAAGCAGCTATTCAAAACCAAATTAGTCTAAAAACCAGGTACCACTTTCTCATTAGAGAGAAAATAAGAAGGAAAAGCTTAGCTGTTCTTACAAGACCAGAGCAGCTAAATGTCATTCCAAGAAAAAAAGGTCTTGTTTTAGTCCCTTGTAGACTGAGAATAAACGTTTTGAGTTACTGGAACTTGATGGGTGTGATTTGCCATTATTTTCCATTTCCTGAAAAATCTTAAGAAAAATAAAATCACAGCTCATATGTTCCACTGCCTTTCCCTAAACTGTTAGGTGTTTAAGTTGCCTTCTAAAAACATACCTTAATTTTCATGTATATATCTGTCAATGCATGTGGATATTTGCAAGTATAACTGTTTCTGTAAATGTCTGCACAATGAATCATGTTTCCAGAACAGAAAATTGCTTGGGATAATCAGTAATTCCACATAGTTTATCAAATCCCAATTGAGAAGTTTTCAACTAAACAAAATTCAAAAACAGGTTCATATCTTGAAGGAAATGGACTCATGAAGAATAAATTAATCATTACATTCCTTCTTACATAAGAGTTATACCTCTCCCCTTATTTTGGGGTTCTTAGCCTACTAGTATATTGTCTAGAAAACAAAGGCCAAAGGTTTCAACAAAATAAAGGATGAAACAACCTCTAGCTAACCAAAATAAATGTCGTGATGCTTCGAATACTTTACTCTTTGTAGAATCCCTTGTCTACACAGTACCAAGTTGTTCTTGAGGTGCACATCCAAACACCTTTGTTTTAAAGTTACATAACACGTGGAAGGTTAGTGGTAATAATTAGGAAAGGGCTAATTTCATAAAAAGCTTGCATTGCAAAAAGCAAGAGTTGATAGTCAATACCCTCAAACACGAAAAATGCAGAAAAGCTAAACAGTTAAAGAAAAAAAATCAAAACCTCTAACAAAAACATTGAAGTCTAGCACCACTTAAAGCAGCAAAAACAAACCTATACCCTTAATAGTCATCATTTGTTTTATAAGAGTGCAGAAATTTGGACTAAGAGAAAAATATTATATTTTTTAACAGATTGCATTTTTCTTTTCTTAAATAAGAAAATAAGGCTAAATAAAACTGGTGACTTTTCCTTGGCTGGTAATTATCACAGATCAATGTTATCTAACAGAAACAAATGCAGATCACAAATGTGAGCTACACATGCATTTTTAATTGCATTAGCCTCATTAAAAATGGTTTTAGACAGGTGAAGTTAATTTTAATATATTTTATTCAAACAAAAATATTATAATTTCAATACAATATACAAGTTATTAATATGGTAGTTTACATTACTTTTATTCAAATTAAGTTGCCAAAATCGGATGTGTATTTTACACTTACGTGTTAATTTTGACTATTTATGTTTCAAATGCTCAATAGCCAGCTGTGGCTACTAGCAATGGTATTGGACAGGGAAGTTCTAAATGCAGGGACCAAAGCGGCAAACAAAACAGACAAGGTCCCAGTTTTCATAGTTTACATTCTACTTCAGGAAACATACAGAAAACTATAAAAATAACAAAGAGAAAGAAAAATCATGTGATTTTAAAATTGTATGAAGAAAGTTAGGTTGATGAGATAGATAACACTGAGGGGTAAGGGTGCTCCGCAGATGTGGCATTGGTGAGATCTGAACACATGGGGAACAGTCATGCTATGAGGAAGACCATGCTGGATAGAACAGAGAGCTTTTACAATAAACCTAAGATAAAAATAAGCCTGTGTGTCCACGCAACAGCAGCAGCAACAAAAGGATAGTGAGATCATAGCAAAAAGAGTAGAGAGGGAGAATGGTAAAGATATGGTCAGGGCACAGGCAGAGGCAGAGGATATAGGACTTTGGAAATCAGGATAAAGAGCCTCACAAGTGGCCAGTGGAGGATGGATCCTGGAAATGTCACGTGTTCAGTTGGAAACGTTGTAAGACTATGCCGCACAAGTGAGGGCAACAGGGAAAGAGTCTTCATAAAACATGAAACGAAGCCTCAATGCCTAACTGGATCAAGGCTATCTTCCTAGATCTATTTTCTCACAACTGGAAAATCACATCCACTTTGTTGGAATTAATCTAGAGCCTCTATGCTTTTTAATGTAAAATGTCCAGCATTTAACCCAAAATTATCAGAAATGCCAGGAAATGTGACCAAATGACCATAAGAAAAAAGAGGAAAAAAAAGACTAAATAAGCATTTTGGTAATCCAGGTTTTTGAATCGTCAGTTTCCTGCTCTATAATAACTATGATTAGTATGTTCAAGAGAATAGATAGTAAGATGAAGCATCTAACTGGAGAGCTGAAATATAAGAAAAATGAACCAAGCTTTCCTTGAATTGTAGCAAGAAAAAAGCAATAAAAATATACAATTCAACAGATGGGTTCAAGAGCTGATGCAATACAGCAGAAGTGAAGATTAGTAAAATAAAAAGTAGATCAGCAAAAATTGCCAGATCAAAGTGCAGAGAGAAAAATAAAATTACAAGAAAAAAGATATTGAGGAGCGTAGAAGACATGTGGGATACAAAGCAAAATGGTCTAAATGAATGTTACTGGAGTTCCAGAAGGGGAGGAAAAAGAATATGGGGTTTTAATGTGATTTTTATTGTTTCAATGCTTCTTTTCATATTCTCATTTTTATTACTTAAGAAATATATAGACCAGTTCCTCATATCAAATATGAAAATAAATTCCAGATAGGTTCATGAGTTTAATGTAGAAAGTACACTCACAAAATAACCAGAATAAAAGGAGCAAGCAAATATTTTTCTTGCCATTACAATAATAAATGCAAAATCTGAAACCATTAAGTAAAGGTTGCTATATTTATATACATATGAATTTTTGCTTATGAAAAACACCATAACTGAAGTTCAGAGGCTAAGACCAAATGAGGAAATAGTTGAACCAGGTGTATGATGGAAATATATACAGTAATTAAAATCATATTTCACAAAAATATTTAATAACATGGAAAATGCTCGTAATTTGTATTGACATTTAAAATAGTTTATTAGACTATTTCTTCCAGTGAGTTTGGAATAACAAGGACTGGATTTACCCTCTCATAATAAGCAACAATAATATCAGACAAAACATGTGAGACAAGCGTTTTAGACACTGAACAACTGGCCTCACAGCACCACAATCCTTGAGATCAGGAAAAAGCACAGTGAGCCCTGAAATGGTCCCAGCTTACTGCTTGAAGGTAGTTTCCAGACTGCACTGCAGAGAGAGGGAACCTATAGAGAGCCAATAGTCTCACTGACTGAAGAGAACAGAGAATACAAATCAAGGTGGCCAAGGAAGTAATGAGGGAGCTGGAAGGAAAGAAAGAGAGAAAGAGAAAGAGAGAGAGAGAGAGAACGCACTGGTACAGAGGGGTCCCCTCAAGAGTTTGCTAATTATGAATCTGTGCATATGTGAGAGAAAATGACAAATGCCATAGACAAGAGATATTGGAATAGAGTAGGAAGAACCATTCTCAGAGTCCACACATAGCAGAGAATAGTACATGTTCCCATAAGCCAGAGTAGAGAGATTCAGGGAATTAAACAGCTATTATAAAGATGATCTGGGCCAGGCACGGTGGCTCACGCCTGTAATCCCAGCACTTTGGGAGGCCGAGCCGGGCGGATCACCAGGTTAAGAGATCGAGACCATCCTGGCTAACACGGTGAAACCCCGTCTCTACTAAAAACACATAAAAAACTAGCTGGGCGTAGTGGCGGGCGCCTGTAGTCCCAGCTACTTGGGAGGCTGAGGCAGGAGAATGGGATGAACCCAGCAGACGGAGCTTGCAGTGAGCCGAGATGGCGCCACTGCACTCCAGCCTGAGCGACAGAGTGAGACTCTGTCTCCAAAACAAAACGAAACAAAACAAAAGATGACTCTGTATATTCAAGAATGTAAAGGAAACATATCATTATGAGGGAAAACATGTGAAATATAAAAAGGACCCAAAGGGAACTCCTAGAGAATTTAAAAAAAAAAATCGAAATTAAAAATACTTTGGATGAAAACGCATACCTAGGCCCCATATCTTGTTTCTAATATCATACTTCAATAAAAGAAACTAGGGCTCCTTGGAGAAATGGCTGGTTCTATGACTGAGATAGAAAATATACAAGATGATCTTGGAATATTTCTTTATGGCAGAAAGTAAGGAAGTACAAAGGAAAAAAAGAAATTGATTGGGGTATGTCAAAGGGGCACAAGAACCAACTCAAAGAGTTCTCAGTGGCCAAACCTGAATTAATGTGAGTAGTAAAATAAATAGTATTGATTATAGCACAAAAAAATAAAATGAATATCCATGAGTCCATACTGATATAAATAAATTATTAAATAAATAAATATATGGAGTGGGGAAAATAGGCAGATCTCCCAAAAACAAAAATTTCAAATAATTTAGGTAGATAGTCCACCACAAGGAGGGAAAATAACCTCACTGCTTAAATGTGGGCTGCACATAGTGACATTATTCTAAAGAATACAGTATGGAAAAGGGAAAAAGGAATAATTTTATATTGGAGCAACCTATCAAATGCTACCCTAGTAGGATGGTCAAAGTCAACACCAACAACAATAAATTATGTTGATAGTATGTACTCTTGATATGATATGATAAAAATGACACTTTGTCTCTGAGGGATTTTTCCCCAAAACCCATAAACCTTAATGTAAATGATGAGAACAAGAGTTGACAAATTCTCATAAGGGGAATTCTACAAAATATGTGACCAGTACTCTTCAAAACCATCCTGGTACTCAAAAACAAGCAAAGTCTGACAATCTCTGATAGCCAAGAGGAGCCTGTAAATATATAACAACTAAATGTAATGTAATATCTTCGATGGCATCCTAGAACAGAAAAAGGACATTAGGTAAAAACAGAAAATCTGAATAAAGTATGGACATTGGTTAATAATAATATATCAACATTGGTTATTAATTCTAGCAGATGTACCCTATGAATATAAGATGGATGTTTATAATCAGTAAAACTAGATTTGTGGTATATGAGAGCTCTGTATATTATCTTCACAAATTTTCTGTATATCTAAAACTGTTTTTTGTTTTTTTGTTGTTGTTGCTGTTTCTTGTTTGTTTTTGAGACAGAGTTTCACGCTTTTTGGAGAGGCTAGAGTGCAATGGCACCATCTCGGCTCACTGCAACCTCTCCCTCCTGGGTTCAAGAGATTCTCCCACCTCAGCCTCCCCAGTAGCTGGGACTACAGGCATGCGCCACCACACCTGGCTAGTTTTTGTATTTTTAGTAGAGATGCGGTTTTACCATGTTCACCAGGCTGGTCTCGAACTCCTGACCTCAGGTGATCCGCCCACCTCAGCCTTCCAAAGTGCTGGGATTACAGGCGTGAGCCACTATGCCCGGCCTAAAGCTGTTTTTAAAATAGTTAAGTCTATCTCTAAAATACATGGGGTGGTATTAATAGCATATTAAACACCGAAGGTTAAAAAAGGGAACTTGAAACCATAGCAACAAAAACAATCCAATATCAGACAGGAAAAAGACAGAAGTAGTCTCATAACCATCAATGGAATCCCAGAAGAGTAGGAAGGGAATTGAAGGGAGAGAGACAAAAAAAAAATAGTTGAAAGAATAATGGTCAGTTATTCTCTAAATTTGATAAAAATTATAAACATTCAAATCCAAAAACTCAGTGAACCTGTACGATCATGCAATGGTACTTCATAATCAAATTGCTCAACACCAGTGATGAAGAGAAGACTCTTAAAGGAATCTATGGTCAAAACGCACAACATGAAGGGAATAAAAGTAAGAATTGCCATAGGTTTCTTGGTCAGAAACTATGTATGCCAGAGGACAATGGAGAGACATCTTTAAAATACTGAAAGTTAAAAAAAAAAAAAAAAGGCAGTGAATATAATGTTTAATAATAAAGGTGAAAAAAATTAACAACTATGCTAATAGCAAAAATATTAAAATATTTAGGGTATATACCTAACAAAATGTAATTGATTAGAGAAACTGAAGAAGACCTAAGTAAACAAATAATTATTCCAAGTTTACGGTATGTACTATGGTCTCAGAGTTTATGCTCCCTCCAAATTTATATGTTAAAACCTAATCACCAACATGGTAGTATCAGGAGGTAGGGCCTGTGGTAGGACATTAGGTAATGAGGACATCCATAAATGTCCTCCCAAACACACTCAGAAATAATGTTTAACCAAATATCTGGGCATCTCTTGACCCACTCAATTTGACACATAAGGTTAATAATCAATAACTCTATCCTTTGTCAATTTGGCATCCCCTGCACATAGATCTCCCTAAACCACACTTAATCTCTAATTAAGACAATAACATCATTATTCTGCCTAATATGATATAACTATCCAGTAGACAACCAGAAACACGCTAACCTCTTCACCAGAAGAGGGGGTAAAGTCTTTGAGTGATGTTTACTTTTGATATCCTATAGCTTAAATTACTATGATGTAAAATTAACAATACGTAAATACTATGGTATTAATAGAACAGATAAAACAAACATGATCACCACAATTGATGCAGAAAAGCATTTGACAGAATCCAACACTATTTCATGACAAAAACACTCAGAAAACTAGGATTAGAAGAGATCTTCCTCAATATGATGAACTTTATAAAAATTCCACAAGTAATATCATACTCAATAGTGAAGACTGAAAGATGTCCTTCTAAGAATCGGAAACAAGGCAAGAATGCCTGCTTTCAGCACCACTATTCCATGGTGTATTAGAAGTTCTAGTCAGAGCTATTAGTCAAGAAAAAGAAACAAAAGCATCTCAATTGGGGGAAAAAAGTAAGATTATGTCTATTTGTAGATGACAAAAATCTACATAAAGTCCGATAAATCCACAAAAAAATTCTTTAATATACACATTACTATACACCAGTAATATGCAATCCAGAATGAATGAAAATTTAAAAAAAAATGAAGATCAGTGGTTGCCAAGGTTCAGGGATGTGGGAGGGAATTTATTGCAAATTGATATAAGAAATAATTTGGGGTGATGAAAATGTTCAATATCATGATTATGGTGGTGGTTATAAAAATGTGCATTTAGTAACTCTATAAATTATACATTCAAAAATTGGTGGGTTTATTGTATATACATTATACCTCAAAAAGCTGATAAAAATAGATTTTTAAATGTGTGTTTAAGACCCTCCTTTAAAAATATTTCAATGCACAGAGAAAAGTATGGAACAATGGATAGTATAATATCCAAGAAGTGGGTTATGACTGACATAACTATTTTAATATGCTTTACTTTAAACTGCTTATCATGTATATACATTAGTTTTCTAATCAGAAGAAAAATCCTATTAACATATGTAAGAGCATTATGCACTTTACATTTATTTCCATTTAAGAGTTAATATTTTAAAGTATGTGCACTTACCATGTGAAACAGATCAACATTTGACAATGACAGATGGAGGTGTTGCAATATGCTGAGCTGACATCAAGCACTCAATGCCCATTTTCACATTATGTCTCATAAAAGTTTGTGTACTAGTACTCCATTTTTATATGGGCACAACTGAAAAGATTCCAAAAACCTAGATCATAACTGAAAATTCAAAGGCCATTTCCAATAAAACTGATGTGTTTGACTGGTAATCTGGAAAGCTGTTTGATCACCCAGGTCCATCTAAATTTTCAGCTGAGTGAAACAGTAACAAGACAGTTTTAAAGGACCTGGTAAACAAACGTCAAGTGACAAAGACTGGAGAAGCATAAGTTAGTATGGATGTTAATGAGCAAACCTCATCTTGTCCTTGTTTCACACAGAAAAACCTACTGGTAGAAGAGGAAAAGGCCGGGATTCCTGAGGACAGAATAAATGTTAGCCATCAGGAACGATGAAACTTGAAAGAATAGAATTACAAAACTAAGACTAGCTCAGACACAGACCAGACTGAAATTCTAGCAGTGGTAATCTAGTTTTGGAGAGGCCATAGGAAACACACCTAACAGATTAAGTAAAAAGATAAGGAACTGATTACCCCAGGTGAAGATAGTGGCTGAAGAATAAATATAGGTAGAGTTGAGAAGCTCATGGATAAACGTACAGACTCTCAATCCATAGTAAATGGTTTATGCAAATGTATTCTAATTCTACCATCATGGACAGTCCTTTGGAGAACTTCCTTAAGTATTTGGACAAAATAAAACTAAAAAGAACTTCCATGGGTACAGTGTTACTATATAACATGCACTGTGTATATATACATTATCTCTAGTCTAAATTAAATACCCCAATTTACCTATGAGTTTGTGTTAGTTGAAACAATTGGCAGAAATCTTTATAGTAAGTAAATAGAGCAAGTCTCAAATTTCAATCTGTTCCAGTGAAAATCCCAGACTCCTTCCAGTCTCATGCATTCCCCCACTCCCTCCAACACTCAGCTGAGAAAACAGGAGTCTGACCATTTGACCCAGCCATCCCATTACTGGGTATATACCCAAAGGACTATAAATCATGCCGCTATAAAGACACATGCACATGTATGTTTATTGCAGCATTATTCACAATAGCAAAGACTTGGAACCAACCCAAATGTCCAACAATGATAGACTGGATTAAGAAAATGTGGCACATATACACCATGGAATACTATGCAGCCATAAAAAATGATGAGTTCATGTCCTTTGTAGGGACATGGATGAAATTGGAAATCATCATTCTCAGTAAACTATCGCAAGAACAAAAAACCAAACACCGCATATTCTCACTTATAGGTGGGAATTGACCAATGAGATCACATGGACACAGGAAGGGGAATACCACACTCTGGGGACTGTTGTGGGGTGGGGGGAGGGGGGAGGGATAGCATCGGGAGATATACCTAAGGCTAAATGACAAGTTAGTGGGTGCAGCGCACCAGCATGGCACATGTATACATATGTAACTAACCTGCACAATGTGCACATGTACCCTAAAACTTAAAGTATAATTTAAAAAAAAAAGAAAGAAGACAAAGGGGAGCAGAGAGTGCCTGCTATGTCCCTTGCATCTACCACGTAAAACACACTGATTAAAGTTTGTTCTTTAGAATAGCCGCCTTCATGTTCATGGGGCATAGTCAAATTCCGTTCACATTCAAGCAAGGTTGTCCTTCCACTAATTTATTAAGTATGGGTGCTTCTCCTACCTCCCAGAGCTGGTAAAAGATGATGAGTCTTCCTTATTCTAAATCAGTTTTCTTTCCATAACGCCAAGTAGAAAGGAAAAAGTAATGTCACCTGGCTTAGGATCAGTCTAGCTATGACCAACAGGAATAATAATTCCTGTTCCACAAGGTGGTAAGAATTCAGTTACACAAACTTTTGAAGTACTCAGCACGAGGCTGACACATAATAGGTCATCAGGTTATGGTATTTATTACTAATGTTGCTTTCATCCCTTAGTGTCTGATAGGACAATCAATGTGACAGTTGTTTGAGAAGTCCCCATGGAGGGTAACTATCAGAGGGACCTGGCTCAGTGGACCTGATACTCCTGCTATTCCTATCTCCCACTATGTCATATTTCATCCCAGTAGTGAGCAATTCTTTGGGTTCTATCACTAGGTATTAGCTTCAACATGATACCTTGTAAATTCAACTCTCAGGCTCTCTTGCCTTTCCTGCGTCATTTAATGCCTGGAACTATACCTGCCCAAATGCATTATGCTATCTTTAAGAGGGAGGAAAGCAGCAATATAGCTCAGGCATGAATTCATCATTTATTTTTTTCATCAGTGTTTAAAAAGGAGAAGATGAAGAAGTAGACCTTTCTGCCTGCACTAACCCTGCTTGCTCAGAACAGTCAATCACAATTCTTGCCACTAAAACATGGGAGTTCTCGTGTGGTATGTTCGTGTGTGTGTGTGTGTGTGTGTGCACACGCGTATTTTTGAGAGAGAAAGTGAGATGAAGAAATGATTGCCTTTTTACCCCAAACATAGTTTTTCAAGTTCAATGTGTGATATATCAGACCTTTCACTTTGAGTTTTTACCGGCAGTGGTTCTAGAACAACCTTCTGAATAGCTACTACTTCTGAATTTTAAAATCTTCCTGGCCCTACCCTGAGCCACATTTTAAAGGTACGTCAACATGCACTTGGCTCACTCAATATTCAGGAACTTTATTCTTTTTAATATAACTTAATTTTATTAATACAAAACAGCATATCCCAGCACTGCCATAGAGATAAGACTCATGCTAATCTATACTGTGAAGAAAAAGGAACAGACACAGATAAGTACAAATTTCCAAAGAAGGACTTCTTGGCCTAAGCCAAAGTTTGTTTCACCTCCTTTTACTCTTGAGGAACTTTTAATTGCTAGGCGAAATGAACCGACTGAAATGAATGTCTAAAGGTTTCATAACCTCCTCAATAAAATCGAACATGTTTAATCAATCTCATAGAAGACCCCTGAGGAATGTCAATCACATTTCCTGTGGGACTTACCTACCTGGCATCATTAGATCCTATAAAATAATAGCAGATATTACCCTCTGCAAACACACATCCTTTTCATTTACCACTGAGATCTCAGCATAGGAATGTTTTACATAAAAGAATTTCTTGGAGATTGAGACCATCCTGGCTAACACGGTGAAACCCCGTCTCTACTAAACACACAAAAATTAGCCGGGTGTGGTGGCGGGTGCCTGTCATCCCAGCTACTTGGGAGGCTGAGGCAGGAGAATGGTGTGAACCCGGGAGACAGAGCTTGCAGTGAGTCGAGATGGTGCCACTGCACTCCAGCCTGGGCGACAGAGCAGGACTCCGTCTCATAAATAAATAGAATTTCTTTAGTGTCATGACCTAGTACACAGGAAATGCACATTCCAGGGCAGAAAGCGATATTTATTTTTTCAAACACCATTCCAGCCAACTGCCATAAACTTAGTTATTCTGAGGTCTCCTTGTCCACTTTATTTGGAGTCTGCCAACAGGTGACTAGATTCTAGAGTGCATTTATCTACCCTCCACTGGGTCCTTCTAATGCAACCAGGATTCCTCAAGGAAAACCCTCAGTCTAGAATCAGCAGCCCCTTCCAGAGCCTCCTCTGACATTCACACCAGGAAGTAATGTTCCAAGATGGTCTCAGAATTGTATTGACCACAATGGGTCAGCAGGAAGCTTACTAAAAAGAAAGAAAACTCAATAAGCATCAGGCATTCTGCATCAAGCAAACTAAAGTTGTAATGCAGTCACCTAAGGTCACCCAATCCTCTGAGATTTAAGGAAAATTGGCGTGAGCCCTTATTCCACATCCTGTGAGACATGCCTAGCTTTCCCCCAAGATTTTTGCAAAATACCGGAGAGTCTCATGTTCTCATAGTCATGTCTGGCTGCAAATTATTTGTCTTGCTGAATTTTCTCCTCACAGTTCATTTTGCTTGTGTCTCACCTCTTGTGGGTATTTTCTTTCTCCTGCTCCAGACATGGAAATCAATTGTTTTCTTCTTCCTCCCAAAGCATGACATTTTGGGGGTAAATAGATTACTGTGAAGGTTTTGGATGTGAGGGAGGTTATAGCACAAACATTCATAATTAAAAGCTGTAGACATTAATAATCATTTTTTTTTTTTGGAGATAGAGTCTCGCTCTGTTGCCCAGGCTGGAGTGCAGTGGTGCAATCACAGCTCACTGCAGCCTTGACCTCCTGTGCTCGAGTGATCCTCCTGCCTCAGCCTCCTGGGTATATGGGACTACAAGTGTGCACCACCACACCTGGTTAATTTTAAAAATAAATTGGAAGATGGGGGTCTCTCTATGTTGCCCAGGCTGCTCTCAAACTCCTGATCTCAAGCAATTCTGCTACCTTTATATCTCAAAGTTTTGGAATTACAGGTATCAGCTACTGCACCCGACCCCAAATCCATTTTTTAACTGATTTTATTCCTTCCAAAATCTCCAAGGAAACCTGATTTCCTGGAGACAGTGCTGTGGTTTTTAAAATCCCCCTTTAATAATAATTACACTGAGATGTTTCTGCACTTCAAGATGATGACACAGCTTCAATAATAAGGGCCTCTCAGTCCCTGTCCTTCCACCACCCTTATGAGGTATCTCCTGGAAAACCATGGCCAGGACCAAGGCAGTCATAATCAACAATGCAGAGAGATCTGGAGACCAAAAGATATTTAGAGGATGATGAAAGTGGGGTGTGGAGTGGTGACTTCAGGAATCTAGAGATAAGCCAATGAAGCCAGCGGTTATCTGATCAACAATATTGTCCCTGATTTGAGATTAAGTTAAAAACAAGATACAGGCCGGGCGCGGTGGCTCACGCCTGTAATCCCAGCACTTTGGGAGGCCGAGGCGGGCGGATCACGAGGTCAGGAGATCAAGACCATCCCGGCTAAAACGGTGAAACCCCGTCTCTACTAAAAATACAAAAAATTAGCCGGGCGTGGTGGCGGGCGCCTGTAGTCCCAGCTACTTGGGAGGCTGAGGCAGGAGAATGGCGTGAACCCGGGAGGCGGAGCTTGCAGTGAGCCGAGATCCCGCCACTGCACTCCAGCCTGGGTGACAGAGCGAGACTCCGTCTCAAAAAAAAAAAAAAAAAAAAAAAAAAAAAAACAAGATACAAAGGAACGTGACTAGGAACACCTGATTTTTTGTTCCCAGTCAACGGCAGGACAAAAATTCAAAAAATAAAATACCAAGCACAAGTGGTCTGTATCCCATATGGTATTCAGTTAATTTTTGTAGCACAGATCAAATCCTCTAATTCCAGAATTTGTGCCTAAAATGGCAGCTACAATCATAATATTAGTTTCTGCAGCACACAGGTCGAGGATGACCACAGTTCTTTCCTTAGACCTGCCTCTCCCAAGTTATACTTCAGTTCCTAAATGTCACTTTGAATATTTGCCCAAGAGGCCTTCCTGTGTCATGCATAATATATGACAAATTTGGACAAATCTAAGGCTCCTCTTTGAGTTTATCTACCATAGAAAATACCTGCATTGATTATTAGGCCAAATGAGATAAAAGAACTTGATTCATTCAGGATTCTCTGGCAAGGAAGAGATTAGGGTAGCAGGGCTGACCTGATTTATACCCCATCCCCTGATTTGCAGGGGATGAAACTGGAGAAGGACAGGATACCCCTTTACCCTAGGAAAAGGAACTGTCCTGGCAGGCTCATCATATTGGAGCAGGCAGCAGAAGACAGAAAGGGAAAGTGGTATCTTTTTCAGACACAGGGACTATCTCCTGTATCATTTTTTAACACTGTTTTTGTGGCTCTTACTCCAGCATTAAACACACAGTAAAAACTGAAAAATAAATTTTAAATGAAGTTGAGAAAATATAGATGTAGTAAAAGCCCTATAAACTTTGTACTGGAAGTTCCAGAAATGTCACTGTTTATAAGACATTTTCATTGATGTAGTTCCTTTTTTTTTTATTTCCAATCTTTCAATTTCTTTTTTTTTTATTATTATTATTAAAGTTCTAGGGTACATGTGCACAACGTGCAGGTTTATTACATAGGTATCCATGTGCCATGTTGGTGTGCTGCACCCATTAACTCATCATTTACATTAGGTATATCTCCTAATGCTATCCCTCCCCCCTTCTCCCACCCCGTGACCCCATGACAGGCCCCGAGGTGTGATGTTCCCCTTCCTGTGTCCAAGTGTTCTCATTGTTCAATTCCCACCTATGAGTGAGAACATGTGGTGTTTGGTTTTTTGTCCTTGGGATAGTTTGCTCAGAATGATGGTTTCCAGCTTCATCCATGTCCCTACAAAGGACATGAACTCATCTTTTTTATGGCTGCATAGTATTCCATGGTGTATATGTGCCACATTTTCTTAATCCAGTCTATCATTGACGGACATTTGGGTTAGTTCCAAGTCTTTGCTATTGTGAATAGTGCCGCAATAAACATACATGTGCACGTGTCTTTATAGCAGCATAATTTATAATCCTCTGGATATATACCCAGTAATGGGATGGCTGGGTCAAATGGTATTTCTAGTTCTAGATACTTGAGAAATCGCCACGCTGTCTTCCACGTTGATGTATCTCCTTTGGAGCTTCCCAACAGTGCTGTGAGGTGGGGAGGTACTATTTACTTTATACCCATTGTCGCCCATGGAAATTTAGATGAATGAGTTCATTCCTGCAGGCCCAAGGACTAGACCTCCTCAAGTTTCTTTTGTTCTCTCAAAACATGTACAGTTAACTAGATTAAATTTTAATTTGCATAAAGCCTATGCTATTCTGTTTTCTCCATATGACTATTAAATTTCATTTTACCCAAGGCTTCTTTTTATAAACCACATCATGCATAAATCGTGTCTCTGACTCTATGTAAGAGAGAAGCTATCATAAAGATCACTGGAATGAAGTCTCATAGAAAACCACCACCATTGAAACTCAGTATTTCCCTGAAACTGTCACTGTTCCCTTCGACCATGTCTTTACTTGTAATAGGATGGAAATGTGTTATAATCTGGTGCACAGCCTTAAATTGTCCTGACTTTTCCAACAGCACCTCTGGTTCCCAGAAAGACCCTCCTTCCTCTGATATCAAGTCCTGCAATCCCACAATCAGGCCAGGAATGGTAGGTCTATCAAAGCAAAAAGGATTTTGTAACAAAATTAATTACAAAACAGACATATTTTCCTTTTTTGGTCATTTTTTTGGAAGTTGGCAGTGCTTAACTCTCGCCTTCAGGGTCTATCAAGAACTGAAATCTTGATTTTATCTCGAATAGTTATGTAACTTTGAGTAGGGCAGTCTTCCTGTGTGTTGAGTCTCTCATCTATAAAATGATGAGTTTAGACTACTTAATATCTAAATGACCCTACTCTTCTGATCAAAACTTGGGAGATGGTTGCTATTACTGTGTTCTGGGAGGGCACCAAGAAAAGAGTATCCCAGCTAGACTCATCCAGGAAGGCTTCATGGAAGAAATAGGAATGGTGGTGGACTTTGGAGAATTGGAAGGCTTTTAACAGTGCAAAGACATTCCAGACAGAGGGACAAGGTAAGCACAGGCTTCAGGAAAGGAAATACACTGCGCCCTCCTGGAATTGCAGGGAGTGCTGCATGCCTGCTGTTTGCAGAAGGACTTTTCCATAGGCCTATTCTCTTTCATATTTTTTTTTTAAAATGAAATTTTATTTTAAAGCAAATAAACATCAAATTTTTTTGTCACAACTGTCTTGAATTATAATTCACATAACATACACTTCAATTATACACAGTCAAAGCATACAATTCGAGAGTTTTGAGTATTCGGTTGATGTAAAAGTAATTGTGGTTTTACATTACTTTTGCACCAACCTAGTATGTTAACAGATATACTGCAATCACATTCAGTTTTAGAACATATTTATCATCCCAAAGGAAATCCCAAATCTTTTAATCACTACTCCAAAATTCCCCCATCCCCTTCCTCATCCCTAAGCAACAACTAATCAACTTTCTCTCTATAATCTACTCTCTATCTCTATTCTATCTATAGATCTGCCCTTTCTGGACATTTCATATAAATGGAATCATACTATATGGGTTGTGACCAGCTTCTTTCACTTAGTAAAATATTTTTAAAATTCATCTATGCTATATTATGTATCAGAACTCCATTCATTTTATTGTTAATATTCCATGGTATGAATGTACATTATGTTTACCTATTCATCAGTTGATTAACATTTCTGGTGCTTAATGTTGTTAAATATTTATGTACAAGTGTTCATGTGGACATATGTTTTTATTTCTCTTGGTTATGTACCTGGGGTGGAATTGCTGAGTTGTATGGTAACTCTGTGTTTAACATTTTGAGAAACTGCCAGACTATTATCCAAAATGGCTGCACCATTTCACATTTCCATCAGCAGAATATGAGAGTTTCAATTTCTCTGCATCCTCAACCACACTTCTCATTATCTGCCTTTTGATTATGACAGTCCTAGTGAATAACTTACTGTGGCTTGGATTTGCATTTTCTTGGTGACTAATGATATCACACATCATTTCATGTTTAAATTCATTTATGTTCTAATTAAATATGTATATATTAAATTCATTCATATTCTGATTAAATATTTGTATTTTTATTTTGCAAAAATATTCAGATCATTTGCCCATTTTAATTGCGTTGTCTTTTAATCATTTTGTTGTAGGAATTCTTTATATACTCCAGGCCAGGAATGTCCAAAATTTTGGCTTCCCCTGGGCCACATCATAGAAGAATTGTCTTGGGCCACCCATAAAATACACTAACACTAATAATAGCTGATGAGCTAAAAAAAAAAAAAAAAATCGCAAAAAAAAATCACCAAAAAAATCTCATAATGTTTATGAATTTCTATTGGGCCACATTCAAAGCTGTCTTGGGTCACATGTTGGACAAGCTTGCCCTAGGTAAAAGTACTGCATTAGATATATGATTTCCAAGTATTTTCTCCCATTCAGAAAAAAAGTCAGGTTATTAGCATTATCACATTTGAAAGAACAGAAAAGAACAAAAAAGTCTTCCAGAACAAGATTACAAATACTGCACTATTTTCTGCAAAACACAATTTAATTTTTATATAGCAAACAGCAAATATGTTAAACTCTACTTTTAAAATTCATTAAAGTCACCCCCAAAGTTGGTAGGTTAAAAAAAAAAAAAAGCACACAAGAACACGTAGACATAGATGCCTCTACAGAGAAGAACTGTTGATTACTCCAGTAAGACTATTGTAGCTTTTATAAATCATGTTTTACCAATTCACATGCTAGAATTACATCACAAAATAAGCCATGGAATGCATCTGGCCACATGTTGTAACCATTAAAATGATGTTTCATGCTACAGAGCATGTGTTAGAGGTACTCTCTACATGAAGTCTGACTAGATAGTTCAAAATCTCTTATGATTGACCAATTAGTTGCTTCCAAAGAAAGAACACCACAAACCCAGAAGATATGTAAACACTGGCTCATTAGGGCAAGACATTTTCTTGTTAGACTGAGGTCTCCGTTGTGTGCTGAATGGTAAAACATAATTCACTGTTCATTTTGCTATGAACACCAAAAGATTTCATTTCTGAGAATACACCCACGCAGAGAAAGGTGATTTCAGAACAGAGCTCAGGAAACATAATCCTTTATATGAAGTGAATTCAGAGTCAGGCAGAGAGCTTGCTCTCTGCTTGTGTCCACTTCATCTTCTGCTCTGAAAACTCCAGCTGGGCTCCTTGCTCCAGTGTTACCTTAAACATTCTCTTTCCTGGAGCAATGTACGCTGAAGTGCATCTAAAATAGCTGAATCCTTCTCCAGTGAGCTGAGCCACAGGCCTTGCACGGAAAGACCTGGGAAACATTAGCTAGCTTCTGGTCTGGCCATAATGAAAATAAATGAGGGCTTCAATTTAAAGTCGTTACTAAAAATTTGTTCTTTCCTCCATTCTAATTCTGAGACCCACTTGCAGCTAATTAGAATGGTTCCCAGCGTGATCTCCCAGCACACTGCTAGTGTAAACACCAACCATCTGAGTTTCATTACAATAAAGAAATCAAATAAACAGTGGACCAGAAAACAGTAGTTTGGGCATGGCTCATTACAGCACAATGCAGTTAACATTCCTCACTTGGGAAGGAAAAGAAGGCATTGGGCAAGAGGGGCTGATGTCCAGTGCTTTCCATTCTTATTAACGATATTAGTTGGACTGGGGATTATTTTTTACTATTAACGAGTTTTGGAGAATGAGGAGGGATTTTTTTCAATGGAAAAGAAAAAGAAATGCCCTCTGAACCTTGGTGTAAACAAAGAGAAAAGGTAATTATTGGCTCTGGGCTACTCACTGCTTCTCCAGTTTCTCATAGGATGTACTGTTGACAATTTACATAAGGAAAAAGAAAAAGAAAAAAAGAGGAATACAGTATCCATTAATCTACTCAAGGGTTTTTATTATTTATCCTAGGTACAAACAAATCTTTGCCAATGTAGGATCGGTATGACTATATGATTGCTAATATACAGAATTTTTTCAAAAGTAAAAACTTACCTAAGAGAGTCACTCTTTTATTTAGAAATTTTACTTATCTCATTCACACTAATAATTGGAAGTATTCATGTAAAGAATCATTCTGTAGGTTGTCTATATTGTTTAGCATGATCTTGGAACCATCAAAGGAAGAAAGATCCAAATATTTCTGTCTCTAAAATTTAACCCTGCTTTTAAGTAATTATTGAAATCTAAAGACATTTATTGAATTTGGTTCAGAAACTCAACAAAAGAATGAGTTCTTTGGTAAAAGCATGTTCTAAGAAGAAAATATTAACCAACTACAAGGCCTCATGTGATATTACTTGTGTGCCTGTGACTCAGAATTCATAATTGGACCTTGGATCAGGTCAGGATTTCATTGCACATGATAGAAATTGCTTAGCCCCTCAGTTATAATGCAGCTTCAGTGAAGAACATGTAGACATACTCATTTCCTCTTTGAGGCAGTCTAGGTCTAGGTGTGTAAATATCACGTCACTGGTGCTTAAAATTTTAAATTGTTAGAGAAAGATTATAATACTTAGCAGAACATATTCACTCAGAAGTTTCCAAATGCTTTGGGCTAAGATTAAAATACTCGCAAAACAGCCCCTTTATGCTTCTGTTTTGACCACTCTGAAAACCTGTTGCATAAAAGGACCCAAAGCAAGATCCTAAACTGTATAAATCAATAATTGAAAAAAAGTCACAAAAACTGCAAATGGTATTGAAACTGATCATCTTAGAGAAAAAGAACAAAATAAATGCATGCTCTGACCTTGAGATTCATTTTAATTTGTGGAAGGAAACAATCACTCATCCCTGAGCAGAGAAAAAAAATAAAAATAAAAAGGAGAAGAAAAAAGAAAGGAAAAGAAACAGGGAAGCATTTGTCTGCCACAGCTGTCTCAGTAAGGAACTTAAAGAAAAAAAAAGCCAGCTTTCTTAGAACAATTTAATGTATTGTTTTGGAATTAATTGTCTATTATCAACATGTTGAAAGAAAGTTAAACTCAAGGAAAATGAAAGTGAATTTCCAAAGAAATTAAAACTGAAGATAGCAATTTTTAAAATCTCAAAGAGCCATCATTTCAATTTTCCTAATCTGCTTAGTCTTAAAACAATCTATTAGGTTGGTACAAAAGTAATGGTAAAGAACACAATTACTTTCGCACCAACCTAATACTTTTGTACAAAAGACATATACTTGGTGTCATTCAACAAGTATTTATTGAACATTTCTCTGCTAGATGCCAATCTATTTACTGATTTTTAAAGTGAAATTTGTGCACTCTGATGTCCATAGCTGTAAAATAAGAGGTTTCGATTGGATAGTTGAGAGGGCTGCCAAGTTCTTAAAGTTTAGAGCTATTATTTCACCATCAGGCGATGTACCATGTCTTAAGCTCTGCAATCCAGCCATGGTCCTTTACCTGGTCAAAATTCTCCATGACAGAGCATGGAAGAGAACACTGCTATCATCAGAACTGACCAGCCTCCTGTAAAGCCATGAGTTTTAAGGATTGTAGTGTTTAACGGAGTTGAATGAGGAGGCTTTACCATTCCTTTAGAAATTATCTTTGCATATGTATTACTCACGACTAGAATAATGTTGGAAAAATAATGTAATCGTTTTATAAATGCCCCCAAAATGACTATCACTATCACCTTTCATTTTCCTTTACAGTAGGTAATTTTTTTCTAAAGCATTTTCATTGTTAATTTCTCATAACAGAATGACTTACGTAAAACTCATGGAGCCCAAGTGTGGCTTATAAAATTGTAATGGAATATTAAAGTGAGCAAACTGAAATGAACTGTTTAAATTATTTTGTTATTTCCCATACCAATGTCCTGTATTGTGCAAGGACCTTACATGCATTATTTTATTTTGTCTTTATAGCCATGCTATGGGATCCACACTTTAACAAATGATGCTGATGAGAAAACAGAGATCATTTTCTCAGAGCTGAGAAGTGAAGGAACTAGGATTTGAAACTGGGTTTACTCATACAAAAGCCATGCTCTTTCTACAACCTTGTGGGTTTTTATTTTTATGCATAAAGTACATACTTGGCCACAAAGTAGATTTTAGAAAATAAGCATACTTAAAATAAAAGGTATGATGTAAAGAGCATAGAGTTCTGAGGTGTAGTGACCCTCATTAGAACATGCATCAAAGCTTGCGTATTCTAGCAAATAAAACAGAAAAATAATAATGCTTAACCCCAGAAAACTAAAATATTGAACTCTATAGGTAAAATTTATTTTTAAAGAATTTTGGGTTGCTTTTCCTCTGCCACATGGTATGCTGATGGAACATAGATCCCAGCATGATAGATTACTCAGAAACTGAAATAGTCTAAAGAAAGCATAACCCAACATAAAACATTTATGGAGAAAACAAAAGGAATGAATAACTGATTCCCAAATGGTTCTCTATTTGGAATTATTCATACTGTCTGTAAGATCATCACTGAGGAAAACTGAAAAGGAGATATGACATTATGATAAAATGAGCATGGAAAGGGCACAAGAAGACTGTTTTTCACATGTGCTCTGCCACTGACCAGTTGTCTGAGTTTAGGTATAATAAGTCATTTCTACCTTCTACTACTTTACATCTGTTAAACTAAGAGTGTGCTCTCAGATTTCCCCTCCAGCTCCGATGCTCTCTTAGCCTACAAAGCATTAATAAAAAAGAATCTCAGTGTGATTGATCGTGACTTTAACATAGAAATTACTCTTCTTCTGGTGGATGGGAAATTCTCTGTCTCTTCAAATCACATCTATTATTGCAAAACTCAAAATAAATGTTCAGAAGTTCCATCAAGGCAGAAAAGCAACCGATGCTATCAGAAGTTTACAGTGCTGAGTTTAAAAGAATGTGAATATATGTGTGTGTGTGTATTCATGTGTTTAGTGTGGGTGCATGTGTGTGTGTCCAGAGAAGGTCACGAGTTTGACCTTCTGGAATCAGCAAAGGTTCCATCCACGGAACCCGCTGTGACGGCATCTGGAAATTCCTCACTTGGGTCAGTGGGGAGACATTCTCTGTTTACATTGCTTTTGTTTTATACCCATGTGGTGTTCAACATATCAATAATATATTTCAATCTCATCATGAAACCCTTTAATGATTTACTTTTCAAACCTCCCAGGTCCATTTAGCCACAGGAAAACCTACTCCTTTTGTTACAAGCTGAAACTATGACAGTCAAAACACAGACAGAAGAAAAAGCACTTGCTGGAATCTGCTGTTGTTCCTGCTGTTTGCCGGCAGTTGCCATAGTGGAGCTTTCGATGTTTAGAGAGCACATGAGGAAGGCCACTAATGTCCTGTAATAACTTTTTCTAGAAGTGACACATGTCAAAATGCACAGTTTTTGCACGATTGGCAATATTCATAGAAGCATTTTCTGTGAAACTGATTATAGCAATCATTGATTCTGGAATACTTTAGTGCTTTACTCCTAAAAATGTTATAGACCTTTTCATATATATCATATTCTCCTGTGCAGATCACACCAAAAGTTCACTTAGTTCTGCACCATCATCAGAAATTCTCCAAGTTATATGGAGTGTGTTACTGATGTTTTGTTCTGCTCAACATACAGCTTTGTAGTGACAGTGGCCACTCAACGAGGCAACAAGACAATTCTCGGGGAATGAAACTACCCACCTCTCCAGACACCCAAGCCAAAACTTTTAGCATTATATTTGTCTCATCCTTCCCACTCACCAACTGGTTCTAGTTTATTTCCACCTCTGTTTACTCTCCCACCTAAAATTTCTCACATCAATGCATTTCTGTCTCCATCACAGCCATTGCTGTCCCCAGAACACTAACCTCTGTAGCCTAGATTCAAAATGTCTGCTATATATGCTCCTATACTCTCCCATATAGCTTTATTTTTCTACAATGGGATGGAGTAATTCTATTTAAATGTGATCTAATTGTGTCATGCGCATTTGTGAGCCCCTCAGAGATTCCCTTTGTTCACCTAGATGCTCAATAAATAGTATGTATTGTCTCAATGACTTTAATTGAATAAACAGTGTTCCCGCAAAGGTATTTATGCACAAAACAAAACATTAGTAAGACATTCATATACATTTGGAAGAAAATAGGGTAAGCAAAGTTGAGCAAAAGAAGAAACTTTATTTTTTACAAGTCAACTAACATTTATTTGATAAATATAAAAGAGACAATATAACATCTATCCTTAGTTGCAAGTTACAAGTAGAAGACAGTGTGGCTATTCCTCAAGGATCCAGAGCCAGAAATACCATTTGACCCAGCAATCCCATTACTGGGTATATACCCAAAGGAATATAAATCATTCTACTATGAAGACACACGTACACGTATGTTTACTGCAGCACTATTTACAATAGCAAAGACTTGGAACCAACCCAAACGCCCATCAATGATAGACTGGATAAAGAAATATTTATTAACACATTATGCACCTGGTGATTGATATACATGGTCTCCTTTGTGATCCCTCCTTTTGTGTGTCATGGGAACCTTTCAATATAGGTTTAATTACTCTCACTTTACAAACAAGAAAACCAAGGTGCAGAGAGACTAAGTGTATTGCTTATACAGTTACACAGGTAATAAAAACCAGGGCCAGGGTGTCTGTCTAGTTCCAGTGTTTTACTCTGTTCTCAGTCCCATGCACTAGATGAGTTAGTCTTGCCCTCATTCCTTCTTGTGATGAACTTCCTCTCCATAGTGAATTATCTCCTTATTTCTTTAGTAATTTTCTGCTCTCTTAATGTCTCTCCTGAGTTAAAAAGGAAAAAGGAGTTTGCACCAGTCATCTCTTGCCTACACGTGCCTATTTCCACAAAGTCATCTCCCATTCATTTCTCAAATCTCTAATAGAACTCGGCTCCATCCCTTTCACAATCACTTTCTACTACGGTCTCCAATGACATCCATGTCACAGAATCAAATGTCCTTTTCAGCCTCTCCTGCTATAACTTCTTAAGAGCAAATCATACCGTCGACTACTTTCTTTAAATTAAACATTATCTTTTCCCAGAAGCTCCTAATTTTCTTTCTTTCACCCTTTTCTCCATGTCTCAATTATCTCATAGGCTCATCTTCTTCAACAGAAGCTTTTAGTTCCTTGTTAATATTCAAAAGTCTATCCTAGGCTCTTTCTTTTTTCTCCCTACACTCTCTCCATAAGAAATTTGATCCACTGTTGAACAATCATAGACATTTAGGTAATTCTTGACACCTTCCTTTTCTTCATCTCCCCCATACCCATTTTATTACATACTCCCGCAGGTTTGAACTTCTATATCTTCATAATCCATTGACTTAATTCTATTTTTATCAATCTTGTACTTTTAGTTATTGGAGAAGATGGAATCAATACAAAAATAATATTGATATATATATTCCTTTGTTCCCTAGAGAGGAAAAAGGTCAGATCTGGACCTTCTGTGGTGATCCTGGGCCAGTGGCTTTAAAATGTTTCTCAATGGATTCCTCTCTTTATGAAACTCCTCCTCCAACAACATGTTATCTAATCTCCCCTCCATAAAAAGTCCCCTAAACTGTCCCTTCCATCTCTGGCCAGTCAAAACATGAAGTAAAATAGATACTCTATGGACAGAAGCCTGGAGAAATTCAGTGACGCTATTTGCTTGGGAAAATCCTGTAGCATAAGACCAGTCATAGAGATTGTGCTAAGTGTATATTTCTCTGGAGGTTGGTAAGCATTTCCTGTTTGGGCTTTTAATAGAGATGGGGTAGGAAAACCTCACCCCTCCCTCAGGCGAGAAGGCAATCTGACCTAATGTGCATTAGGTTTAATACACAGTCCTGTGGTTGCCTTCAGCATTCCTATTCTTATAGCACATACTCAAGTGTTCCCAATGTCAGAATAAAGTAGAACAGGCAAAGATCAATAAGTAGCATCAGGTCAAAAATGAAATTACAATGATGTCAGAAAAAGAAGACAGAGGAGCTGGGACTTCTGAAAGAGCAGTAGAAAAAGCTAGCAGACTCTCTCCTCAGAGAAATAACTTTTAACTGGTGAAAATTATTTTTAATGTAATGTCTCTAAAAGTAAACATTTGATTTAAAAACTTTAATAAATCTCAGTAAAAACAATAAGAGTCATGTGTGCATTTGAGTCATGAACTCCCTCCCCACAACTCCAAATTTTAGTGTGATAGGAGCCTACTCTGCATTGATGACCATAAAGTTAGGACTTCCTTTCCCCCTTTAGCTCCAGTCTATGATTAAAGTTTTACCCCAGGAGAGACAGGCTATTGGCATCTCTCATATGCCCCCAGCACCATGTTTCAGAATGATTCCAGGCAGAAAGGGTTGAAAGAACTGGAGAACAATGGGTAGAAATTGTACTCTAGATTTTGCAGACTAAGAATAGTGGGCTCTCATTGTCCCCACCACAGCTTGCTCATAAAGCAAAGGTTTCACAGAGGAAGGGGCAAGCTGAGAAGATCAGGAGCTACCATACCTGACCAGTGCTCCAATAATAATGAAGGAGTGTCACTTCTGAAGAAGTGTGATGCTGTCCTTTTTACCAACTCCAGAGCAGTTGTGCAGTTTTTGCTCAAGGGGATAGGCAGTCCATGAGAACGGAGAGCTCTGAAACTCTTCCTAAGGGCATTGAGTTTATATGCAACTGACTATGGGGAAACTCGCAATAGACATACTAGTAATGAGCAATAGAGAGGACACTGATAGCTTCATGATAGGAGTAAGTGAAACAGTAGACCACTAGAAGGCTTGGAGTTGGGGCAAACATCAAAGTCTAGCAACACCCTAACTTGAAAAAGATGCCTGAATTTAATTGGATCGGACTGTGGAACAATTTAAGTCACAGAATTTTGGTGAAAACAATACAGCAATCAATTTGCAAATAGTGAATTATAATAGCTGAATATAACATCAATAGACATACCAGCAAGAAGCTTAAGAGGAAGGCTGGGAAAAGGAATAGGCAAAGAAAGCTTGGGTAGAATCACACTTATCTCTGTTGGTCAGAAAGATTGCACGTATGCCCAAAGCTGCACTCTCTGTGGAGTGACACCAGAGGCATTATGCTGTGGATGAAATTTACTTTCCGCAACTGTTCTAGCTAAGTCCATAAACAAAGAAACAAGCAAACAAGAACAACAAGTCCATGGGGACAAGGTGAGGTTTGGTATCCAAAAGGTCCATTTCAACAAAAGAAACTACAAGACATGTAAAGAAAACATCTGATGCATACACGGAAAATAAAAGTGAATAATTGAAACTATATATATATGTGGGCCCAGATGTTAGACTTGGCAGACAAAGACTTTCATGCTATTATCATAAATACATTCCAAAAACCACAGGGAACCATGTTTAAACATGTAAAGGAAGGTTTTATGAGAATGGCTTATAAAATAGAAAACATCAACAAGTATAAATTGTTTTTTAAAAGAACTAAATTAGAATTATGTCATTGAAAAGTACAATAACCAAAATAAAAAATTTACTGCAGACAATCAGCAGTGTAGGGCTAAAGTTTTTACCCCATGAGAGATAGGCTACTGGCATGGCTCATATGTCTCCAGCACCATATTAGCTGGCAGAAGAAAAATAAATAAATAAATAAAACAGCAAATGTAAAGTTAGATTAAGAGAGATTACATAATCAGAAGAACAGAAAGAAAAATATGAAGAAAAATCAATAAAGCCTCAAAACATGAAATGGGAGTACCAAATAAAGAGTAGAGAGAGAAACAAAAATATTTTCTTAGAAATACTGACTAAAAACTCCCCAGATTTGATGAAAATCATTAATCTGAAAATTAGGAATCTCAATGAACTCCAAGTAGAATCATTACCAAAGACTACCACTCTTAGACACATTATATATGTATATGTAGTCACATTATATATACACACCTTATATATACACCCACACACCCACACACACAAAACTCAATAAATAACAGCTGACTTCTCATCAAAAAACATGAAGGCCAGAGGCACTGGAATCGTATATTCAAAGTACTGGTAGGGAGGGGAATGCCAACTAAGAATATTCTATACAGTAAAGACATCATTCAAACAAGAAAGTAAAATAAAGACAGTTCAACAGAAACAAAAACTGAAATTTTTTCTTGTAGGTCTGCATTATAAAAAATATTAAAAGAAATTATTCAGGCTGAAAGCAAGTAACACACAAAAGTAATCTGATTCTACATGGAAAAAATAAAGAGCTTCAGTAGTGCTAATTATATGGGTAATTATGAAAAACAATATTATTGTATATTTCCTCTTTTTTGTTATCATACCTGGATTTAAAAAGCAATTGCATTATATAATATGCATGTAAGTGTGTTGGGACTATAATATAGAGAAGTGTAGCATATCAGACAATAATAGCATAAAGGAGGTGAATAGGAGCAAAGCCCTACTGGAGTAAGAAAATGATACCACATGATAAATTAAATCCACAGAAGAAAAATAAAGAGAACCAGAAATGGTAAATAAAATGGTTCCTACAACAAACTTCATAAATACATACTTGCTCTCCTTTCTTCTCTCAACTTCTCTAAAAGACATATAACAATATACTGAATAACACACACACACACATAGTGTATTACAATAACAGCACAGAAGAAATAATTATATGGAGATATCCAGCTATATAGGAGTAAAGTTTCTGTATCTCACTGGAATTGAATTACTATAAGTCTGAAGTAAATTCTGATACATTAAGACATATATTGTAAACCCTAGACCAACCACAAAGCAAGTAAATTTTTGAATAGTATTAAAATTATTAAAGGAATTAAAATTTTTACTGGAAATTTTCCACTTGCTGCAAAAGGAACAGGTAAAGGAGAAACAAAGGAACACAAAATTCTGAAGATATGTAGAAAACAAAAATTTAAATGGCAGAACAAACAAAAATTTAAATGGCAGAACTAAAGTTCATCACTTCATTAATATCATTAAACATGAATAGACTGAACAATCTAATCAAAAGGCAAAGATTATCACACTGGGGAATACAACAATAATAAAATCCAAGTATATGCTGTCTATGGAAGACATACTTTGGATTCAAAGATGTAAGTAAAATCATGAAAATAAAATATATCATGCCAATAGCAACCATAAGAGAGTTGAAGTGATACGCTAATATGTACTAATATACAAATATTAGGCTAAGTATAATTTTAAAATAAAAATGTTACTAGCTATGAAGAGAGACAATTTATAGTGATAGAAGGATCAATGTATCAGGAAGACATAACACTTATAAACATATATTCACCAACAACAGAGCCACCAAAATGCATAAAGCAAACAATGACGGCATTGAAGGGAGAATAGACAATTCGACGTGATTAGAGACTTCAGTATGTACTTTCAATAATGGGTAAAACAACTAGACAGAAGATAATGTCATTGAAGACCTAAACGACACCCTAAAACAAATAGACTTAAGAGATCTAATAGAACCTTTCACTCAAAAACAGCAGACACACATTCTTTTCAAGTACGTACAGAATATTCTCCATATGCTAGGCCATAAAACAATCTTCAATAAATTTTACGAGATTGAAATCATACAGAATATGTTATCTAACTACATACAATTAGATTAGAAATTAACAACAAATGGAAGTTTGGGAAATTTACAAATAGGTAAATACACATTCATAAATAACCAATGTTTCAAAGAAGTAGTTATTAGAAAAATTAGAACATCCTTTGAGATGAATGAAGACAAAAATACAACATAACTTACAGGTTTAAGTTAAAGCTGTGCTTGGGGGGAAATTTATGTCTGTAAGTTCCTATATTAAAAAAAAATTAGGGCTCAAGCCAGTAACCTAACCTTCCACTTTAGGTAACTGGAAAAACAAGAACAAACTAAACCCAAAGAATCAGAAAAAAGGAAATAATAAAGAATAGAACAGAAATAAATGAAATTAAACATAGAACAATTATAAAGTCAACAAAGACTAAAGTTGATTCTTTGAAAAGATCAACAAAATTGACAAAACTTAACCTAGACTGATCACATGAAAAAGAGAGAAAACTCAAAATACTAAATTTTTTTTTATTGGAGATAAAACATGAAGCCTGTGGATGTGTAAGCAGATAATCTTGAAAAATCCAGACAGACAGGGAAATCTGTGAATAGATTGAGGTCCCTCCCCATCAGCACTGCAGGAAAGAGCACTGGCAATTTGAAAACCAATTTATGGAGACTCTACAGGTTCTGAGGCAGGAAACAAGGAGAACTTAAACATGGAAACCGAACTAGAAATTGGTCTACCAGATCTGGCACCACAGAAAGAGCTGTTTCAGAACAAAGCCTGAAGTAGTCATCAGAAAAAATTCACAAGTTCCGAGCCAGACAAGCTACAGAGAGGACATGATGCCAATACTTCAAATATTAAGCTGCAGCTTCTTTAATCCCTAATGCAAAGATCAGGACTGGTACTAAAAACTTGTTCAATTGTCATGTGGGTTAAGTCACCTCTACTGTTAGGAAAAAGCATTTTCTGGATTCTGGGAGGTGTGACCTTGTAAACTGAAATCTACCCCAGTTTCTCACATTCTTATTTATTTATAAGGAGGCAATTTCAGTGTAATTAATTATAAAACAGAAGTACATATGGATCAATGCTTTTTACCAACAGAAAGGTGTGTGTGTATTCAAAACTATATATATAATTTAATTTTTCTCAAGACAAAGATATATCTCATTCAATTTTATACCCATAAGTTTTGGGTTTTTTTTAAGATCTCAGAAAAAGTGAAGAATTTAAGAAGTTACAATCTGGGATATGAGATTTTTACCCAAAATGCAATATTACATTCTGTCACTAGGTCAGTGGTTCGCAAACAAATTTGAACTACAAATTTGTCAGGGAATTTTTTGTTTCTGTTTTTCATTTTTAATACAGACTCCTACCTCTTGATGAGAGCAAGCATTTGTTGAGTCCTTCCTATGTAATGGGCAAGTGCCAGTGTTCTCTTTATGCTACAGAGTAACCTGCGTATACAGAGTAAGCTGGGGAAGCTGGGGAAGCCGGAGCCGTGAAATTAAATAACACCATAAAGTTACCTAGCTAGTAATGGGAGAGCTGGAATCCACACACAGGCAGTCTGGCTCCAGAACTGAGCACCATATTAAAATACGCATCAATATTTCAGGGAAAGTGCTCAGAGTGTTGTATGTTTTTAAAGCCATAGAAGAGACTCATCTGTGCTTGAGAACCACTGCCCTGGCACTTTTCTGTTTGAAAGTGTACTTACAAACAGGCTGTGGTTCCTCCAACATCTGTGCTAATATTGCATTAAGTGTTAAGTATTCAGGAAAAAGCCTGTTCTTGCTTCTTCTTTAATTGTTTTAGAGAATTCCTACATAGCTTAACAAACATGTTACTTTGATAATAAAGTACATGAATGTGTCTTGAATATACCTTACTTCAATAATAGGTAATAATACCAATAATGATGTCTACAGCTTAGTGTAAGACATTGGGCTGAGTTTTGAAATTTACTATCTCTAAGTCTTGCAACATTATCATCATTATAAAATGATAGAAATAGAGGCTCTAAAAGGTCCAAGGTGCAAATCCAAATCCTGGATTTGAACTCAGCTATATCGATTTCAAAGTTATTGACCTTTCCAAGAAGCCTCAGAGGCTTCATACATTGTACTTTTAAGAGGGAGCATATTCGAAGTCTGTAACTGGACCTGTTTTAAATTCTGTCCTTTGTTGGTTCTTTCTATGGTTCAAGACAGTTAAAGTCCTTTTGGCAATCATGATTTTTTTTGAAGTCCCTGCAGTTTCTGGAAAAGATAGATGAAAACAATCTTGCTCCCCATAAGGTTTCTGGGGTAGGAGAGAGAGGATTAACACAATCAGAGTCTGGAAGAAAACGAAGAAGAGATTAGCTGGATGCTGAATCAAGTAGCTATAAAGAATAGTAGCAGTGTTGGATGACAAAGTGCTGATAGCTTTTATATTTTCAACTATCAGCATAGATTATTCTAGCAAATGACAATAAAGAAAGAAACTTCCTTGACTTAACAATTGTGTGACCCCTTGGGTCATATATGAAAATACTCAAGTAAATAGAAACATATGAACATTTAGTGTGAAAATCAGTGGCTACATACAAATTTTTAGCCTCCAACTCAGTCACTGACACTCCTTAGCTGACCTTGGGCAACTTATGGAGCTTCTGTGGACCTCAGACCCTCAAGTTATCTATTATGAATGCATTAATATATTCTATGTCCCTTATTCCCAGGTCTAAATAAAGATGTATATCCAAATTAAATGTCACAACACATCAAGTACCCAAGAACCTTAAATTCCTGGAAACCAGATAAGCCACATAGTGATGTGAGGGAAGTATCTACATTTGCAGAAGTCCATAAAGACCACCTTGACTTGTGTTCCAGAAGTCACATTAGGCAGTCCATCCCTCATTTGTTAATCAGAAGAGATGTTAAGCCAAGATTTTCCTATATTTTTATTAATTTTTGATCAGAGGAGAGAACTAAACTAGGATTTTCTTTAGTACCTTCTTACAGATCTTGATAAGATGTTTCAGGCATCAACAGGAAAAGACTAGAAGAAATACAAAATTTCTCTCTTGAATGTTGCACAACTGAAACTTGTATACCTTGCTTTGGGAGTGTAAATTGGTACAACTGCTTTGGAATACCATTTAGTCTTATTCAAGGAGGCTAAACATATGCTTAGTCTATGATCCTATGTCCTAGCAATGTTCCATTTCTTGATCTGGGTGTTGTTTACATGGCTGTGCTCAGTTTAAAACAAATTTTTGAGGTTATACTTACATTTTGAGCAAGTGTCTATATATTTGCTATACATCGTAAAATACATTTTTTAACACTGTCTTATCCTAACACTGCAAGCTTTGAATAGCTGGCTGGGGAGCATTAGCGGACAATGATGTTTAAATGCATCATCTCACATGATTATTATGTAACTGTATGTTATGAGCTGAATTGCTTCCCCCAAAAAACATATGTAGAAATCCTAAGCCCCCATACCTGTGAATATGACCTTATTCAGAAATAGGGTTTAACTGAGATAATCAAGTGAAAATGAGGTCACACTGAATTACGGCCTGCCCTAATTCAGTCCTTATAAGAATTCATTCCTTAAAAGAATTTAGTCAGATGTCCTTATAAGAAGATAAGAGATGGCTGGGCGCTGTGGCTCACACCTGTAATCCCGGCACTTTGGGAGGCTGAGGCGGGCGGATCACGAGGTCAGATCAAGACCATCCTGGCTAACACGGTGAAACTCCGTCTCTACTAAAAATACAAAAATTAGCCAGGCATGGTGGCGAGCACCTGTAGTCCCAGCTACTCAGGAGGCTGAGGCAGGAGAACCTGGGAGGCGGAGCTTTCAGTGAGCCCAGACCGCACCACTGCACTCCAGCCTGGGCGACAGAGCAAGACTCCATCTCAAAAAAAAAAAAAGAAGAAGAAGAAGAGAAGAGATGTGGACAAAGAGGAAAAACACTGAAACAGAGATGGGAACTGGAGTGATCCCTCTACAAGCTGAGGAACACCAAGGATTACTGGCAACACCAGGAACTAAGAAAAGAGAATGGAACAATTTATTCCCCACAGCCTTCAGAGAAAGTGTGGCTTGGCCATGCCAACACCTTGATTTTGAATGTATAGCCTCCAGAATTAAGAGAATGAATTTCTGTTGTTTTAAGCCACATAGTTTGTGGTAATTTCTTACAGCACCTCTAGGAAACTAGTACACCCTACAAGATAGGTGTTGTTATCCCCGTTTTAAAAGTGATGTAACCAAGGATCAAACAAGTTAAGTCACTTGGCCAAGATGACACATCTAGAGAGTGTTCAAGCTGATACACAAAAGCCAGATGTGTTCTGATTTCAATTAGGGGTTGGTAGGCCAGGCGCAGTGGCTCACACCTGTAATCCCAGTACTTTGGGAGGCCAAGGCAGGCAGATCACCTGAGGTCAGGAGTTCAAGACCAGCCAGGCCAACATGGTGAGACCTTGTCTCCACTAAAAATGCAAAAAAAAGCTAGGTGTGGTGGCAGGTGCCTGTAATCCCAGCTACTCAGGAGGCTGAGGCAGGAGAATCACTTGAATCCAGGAGGCGCAGGTTTCAGTGAGCAGAGAATGCACCATGGCACTCCAGCCTGGGAAACGAAGTGAGACTCTGTCTCCAAAAAAATAAAACATATATAAATATAAATAAATTAGGGGTTGGTGGCCACATCACTAAGCCAGCTGCCAGCAAACTCCCTCCAACAACCATCCTTCTGCATCATGCTTGCTGCCAGGAGTTTTTTGCCTCTATCCCTAAGTCTTTGAACTAGTTGTGAAGTGATTGTTGGTTATTGAAAACAGTTAATGATGTTTAAGTTCACTTAGAAGGCCATCTTCTTTTGCCACTCACTATATGCCCTTCTATCTTATAGCAATCAATCAAAGCAAATCCACTGTCCCCAGATACTTTTCATGAAGACAATTTTGCTCCTAGTTTCCAGAACATAAAACCAGGGTAATCCTGCATGCCCATCTCACATCCCTGAACACGGTGATGAATTCATAAATGGGCACATACCCCAATCAGGCCAATCAAGGGCAGCAAAATTTTCAAAGCCTTTGATTGACGTTTCATAGCTTTCCGTTTTCTCAGTAACCTTACAAGAGTGAAGATACAGCTCCAGAGTGAGAAAGAACTGGCAAAAATAGAAAGCGAAGACTCTCGTCAATACCACATGCCTAAGCCCTGAATTCAATCGGAGTTAAAGCCAAACTTATGGTAGACATTTCAACTTACAAAAGCCAGTAAACTACCTTTTGTTTCAAAGGCCATTTATTACGGATTTTCTGTCTGTTGCAAGTAAGAGCGTCTAATCTAACATAGCCTTGTCTTCAACAATCTCCATAAATGCTGTATTTATTTCAGGAGTCACCTCTTTCTGATGACTTCTTCCACCTAGCGTACTATGAACAGCTCTAGGATGTTGGGGAATAAGATAAAGTTTGCTGGAACGTTGCCTCTGATGTTCTCTTCCTAACTGAAGAAGGAGCAATACCAAAGTCTAGTTGACCATACAGACCACCTGGTACATGTCCTGTTGTCCTCAGGGTGGAAATTTTTGGATCTAAAGCCCTTTCTTCTCTTCTCTTAGCCTTTGCCAGAGAATAATACAGAATCATGGCAAAGCAAAGCTGCTCCTACCTGCCAGATGGCAAGGCCCAAGCTTAGTGGCTCAGAGGGTAGGAGTTGGTGGCAAGGGAGAGAACCCATCTGGTTGCTGACAGCATGTAAGGCTAGTGGGGCATAGACACCCATGCTTAAGAAAGGAATACGGCCTTTAAGAAATCTCAAATTTAGAAACACATACTAAACATCTCTTCCTGAGCTTAGAAGGAGGCTGAGCTTTCTTACATTTCCCCGTTAAGTTTGGAAACTTTATCATTGGCAGAGGTAGTAAATAAAGTCTCCTAGATGCCGGCATTAAAGAGTTAAGGAACCCTCTGTTTTGTTTTTAATTTTTTTCTTTCTCTTTGGTATTAAGATTAAAAAAGGCACACATTTGAAAACTAATTTACCCTATAAAAAATTAAAGCATTTTTTACCACTGTTTGCTTTTCCAGTTTCTTTAATTTGGGTAATTGCTTAGTCAACTTTCAAAAATATATATTCTGTCTTTAAAAAAACAGCCAAATATGACGGATCACCTTCATTTTCATTTCAGATTTGGCATGCAGGACCCAGATTGTGTATTCTTTCCATGGCGCCAAACCAGCGTCGGATACTTAATTAATTTCCTTTCGTTTGTGCAGGCTTGCACTTAAAGAGACAGTGTCCCATTTTGATGGCTTGCTTTTGGCTGAAGTTCAAAAGTATCACTTCTTAAATCTTTTTTCCCCCTTCAAAACTTCCCAGAGTGCTCTATAGAAAAAATAAAATAAAATAAAAACACCCTGGTGTTTTTCTCCACCCTCACCCTTCTCTTCACCACCATTTCTTTCACTCTTATTTATTCGTCGTTTAAACCAATCTTTCCTTAAAAAGAAAGAAAAAAATGAGAGAAAGGAGGAAGAAATGAAAGAAGCACAAGGATGCATGCGCTCTTGCTTCTTTGCTCCCTGTGTTGCCTTCCAAGCTGGTGGCGAGGCTGCACTTCATGGCTATGTCAACTGGTCAAAGTCACTGGAAATGATCAAAGACTTTTTGAACACTAAAATAATATCTTCTTACCACAAATGAAGGCCTGCATCCTTTTCATTGACATTTCATACCATCTTCAGGATAAAACAAAATGTTCTTAAAGACAAGTGACAGCAGGGTGCACCTGGGAATAGCTATGCTGTTGAGGGGAAGTGAGGAAGTTGCATGTTTGCAATAGAGAAAGAGGCGGCCAACACCAGAGAACATGCTTGCATTTTGCAAGTCCTTTTTCTACTGGAAAGTCCTGAATTATTCAGCAGACCACATTATTCTAGAACAGAATTTCCTGGTTCATCTGTTCCATACATTGTGGCACTCAGTATTACATTCTACCCAGCAATTTTACACGCTCATGTCCTGAAGAACAAAGTTGTTCCAACAAATTGTTGCACAGTGTTTTTGTTTTTTCTCTCTTCGCTCAGCTCGCTGCCCCAAGAAGAGAAACGGTGGGAAATATTTAATTCCCAGCTCACAGAGACACTAAACAGAAATAATTTTCTATGGGACGTTTGGCTTTAGCCTAGTTCTGAAACGAAGGTTCCTATTCCACTGTGGCTTAACATCTGCTGGTTTGGGCCATTCTTTCCTTCTTTCCTTCCTTCCCACCTTCATTCCGTCCTTTTTTTTCCTTTCTTCCTCCCTTCCCCCCCTTCCTTCCCTTCCTTCCATTGTGCTTTGTAAAAAAATTGTGGTAAAATACAACACAAAATTTGCCGTTTTAACCATTTTTCAAATATACACTTCAAAGACATCAAGTACATTCATGTCATTGTACAGCCATCACCACCATCCATGTCAAGAACATGCTTTTACCTTTCTAAATTGAAATGCCATACCCATTAAATAACAACCCCATTGCTCTTTCACCAGCCCATGCCCATCACCATTCTACTTTCTGTCTCTACAAATCTGACTACCCTAGAAGCCCCACATAAGTAGAATCATACAATATCTATCGTTTTGTTACTGGCTTATTTCACCTAGCATAATGTCTCCAAGATTGATCCATTTGTAGCATATGTCAGCATTTCCTTTCTTTTTAAGGCTGAATAATATTCCGTTGTACACATGGTCCACAGTTTGTTTATCCATTCACCTACTGATGGACATTTGGAGTGCTTCTGCCTTTCGGCTATTATGAATAATGCTGCTAAGAAACACAGGTATATAATATCTGTTCAAGTCCTGCTTTCAATTCTTTTTTAAATTATTTTGTTTTACTTTTTCAACTTTTATTTTCAATTCAGAGGGTACATGTGCAAGTTTGTTGCCTGAGTATATTGCGTGAAGCTGAGGTTTGAGGTACAAATGATCCCAGCACCCAGGTTCTGAGCGTGGTATCTAACAGTTAGTTTTTCAACCCTTCCCTTACCCTAGCAGTCCCCGGTGTCTATTGTTGCCATCTTTATGTCCATGAGTACCTGATGTTTAGCTCCCACTTGTAAGTGAGCACATGTGGTATTTGGTTTTCTGTTCCTGCATTAATTCGCTTAGGATAATGCTCTCCAGCTGGATGTATATATACCCAGAAGTGGAATTGCTGGGTCACATGGCAATTCTATGTTTTAATTTTCTGAGGAACCGCCATACTGCTTCTCATAACAGCTGCATTATTTTATATTCTTACCAGAAATGCACAAAAGTTCCTATTTCTCTACATCCTTGCCAACATTTGTTATTTTCTGAGCCATTTTTCTTTTATCAAAACATTATTCTGTTGCCCGGTAGTTTGCTAACTTCCCAGCAACTTCAGCATTTATTATGCTTGAGCCTTTTCCCAGTGCCAACGAGGTAGGACTTTTCAGCTGATCCATCCTTCCCAGGTTGAACTGGAAGGTAGAAACAGACAACGGGAAAGCTTATGGATCTAACCTCCTGGTGACTAAAGCTGAAACAGCCTTCCATGGTCTGAGAGTAGACGTTCAGCCTGTATAGGCTTGGTGAAAATAATTCTTAACTATGATCCAGCTGTCAGTGGCAAGAATCTGCTCTAAAATCATTTCTACAGCAAAAAGAAGTGAGCAAACTTGGAAAGAATGCTGAAGTAAAGCAACTCCTTGTTGGTGGCCATAAAACAGCAGTCCCTATTTCCACCTCTTCAGTCATCTTTATTGCCCCAGGCCCTGGGCAGTAGGGAACCTGCACTTCATATTTTATTCTACCCCTAGGTATTAGCTTTACTGTCTATTCTATATAATATATATTCTATAATATATACACATTTAACATAACAAGCACAATGTATTTTGTTTTCTATGTAATATTTTTATCTTATATTGGCAACAAACTATATATATCCACACCTCTTAGGAAAATACCCCACTTGCAGAAGTGGAAGATAAAAAGCAGTCAACACTTTGCTTCCTCTTATGCCGGTGTCATTGCGTCTATGAGATCTTCAGACTTTTCTACTTCTTGCTCTACCTCTAGGTTCCTGAATGAGCTGTATTTTCTTTTCTTTCTTTCTTTTTTTTTTTTTTTTTTTTTTTTGAGATAGAATTTTGCCCTCGTTGCCCAGGCTGGAGTACAATGGTGCGATCTCGGCTCACTGAAACCTCTGCCTCCTGGGTTCAAGTGATTCTCCTACCTCAGCCTCCCTAGTAGCTGGGATTATAGGCATGTGCCACCATGCCCGGCTAATTATTTGTATTTTTAGTAGAGTCAGGGTTTCCCCATGGTGGTCAGGCTGGTCTCGAACTCCCGACCTCAGGTGATCCGCCCTCCTGGGCCTCCCAAAGTGCTGGGATTACAGGCATGAGCCACTACCCCCAGCCAAGAGCTGCATTTTCTATAGTTCCTCTCTATAGTCCCGGCTGTTATATTGACTTGTGTGGTCCATCATCGATTCATTCTCTGCATCCAATCCAGAGAGAGCACCCCCTAGAAAAGCTTTCCTCCCTATCTAAAAATGTGTCAAAACTGACCTAATGTATATATTCAAGGAATGTAGAAGACAGAAAACAAAGTGTCAGGGAAGAAATGGCCCTTCAAACCATATCCTTTGTAAGTTAATGATGACAAACAGCAACCAAAATCTCAGGCCATATTGTGATATGGTTTGGACTTGTGTCCCCACCAAAATCTCACATGGAGATGTCATCCCAGTGTTGGAGGTGGGGCCTGGAGGGAGGTGATTGGATCATGGGGGTGGAGGTCTCATGAATGGTTTAGCCCCATCTCCTGGTGCTGTTCTTGTGACAGGGAGTGAGTTCTTATGAGATCTGGTTGTTTAAAAGTGTGTGGCACCTCCCACCTCTCTCTTGGTCCTGCTCCTGCCATGTAAGACGCCTACTCCCACTTTGCCTTCCGCCATGAGTAAAACTCCCTGAGGCCTCCCCAGAAGCAGATGCCGCCACGCTTCCTGTACAGCCTGCAGAACTATGAGCCAATTCAATCTCTTTTCTTTATAAATTACCTAGTTTCAGATATTTCTTTACAGCAGTGAAAGAACTGACTAATATGCCTTGTGATTGGTAAAAGGGAACTAAGAGGGTTCCTATTGAAGAGAAATTGACTGATGTATTGGCTAATCAAATCAGGAGGTCTCCTTAAACAGCTCGGAATCTAATGAGGAAGGCAAGTTAAAGAAACCACAGACAAGGAAGGCCAGTTTGTACTATCAGCTCCTTGGGCAAGCCAGGGATGACCAGAAATACCCAACAGGGACAAATCTTCTCTCTAGCTAGAGGAACAACCACCGGGAAAGAGACAATCCATGACATCAAGCTGAAAGATGATATTGGCTAGTATTCAGCCTCAGATTCATAAGCCACATATCTGCCCTCTAGAGATGAAACTTCAAGAGCAAAATATGTTTCTAGTGAGAGGAAATATGAAACGCCTGCCAACAGACACATTTATTTATTAAGTTACTATGTATAAGCACTGTGCTGTCTATTTCATAAATATCATATAATTTAATTATTATATCACCCACCAGAGGTGAGTATCATTCTCCCCATTTTACAGGTAAAGAAACTGAGTCAGAAAGGTCCCATAACTCATTCAAAAGCCCAGAGGAAATGTTGGAAATCTGGCTGGAACTTTATCCATTAAATACACAGACGTACAAACAATGTCCCAAACATCTACTGAATGATAATCATGTAAATCTGGAGGAAATAATGTGTGAACAGTACATAACATAATTTTCTAGCTCTTGGATCATCACACTATCCCCTGTGGACCAAATCCAGTTTGCCATCTGTTTTTGTGTGGCCCACAGACTAGGAATATCTTTTATGTTGTTAAATGCTTTGGAAAAAAAAGCAAGAAAAATTTATGATACACAAAAATTATATGAAATTTAAATTTTAGCATTCATAAAATATTAATGCAACACATTACTCATTTGCATATTGTCTATAGCTGCATTTGTGCTGCAATGGAAGAGTTCTCAGTTGTAACAGACACAAGACTTCCAAAAGCGGAAGAATTCACTGGGTATTTACAGAAAAAGATGTTGAGCCTTCTTCTAGGCAGAGACAACTCTTCTAGAAAATATCTCATACAATAAAGATTGATTATCACATTGTTTAGTGTGTAATTCATGTGTTCTCAAAATTTTCCTTAGAGGTATAGCAGTTACAGACATACCCCAAATACATAAATCTGTGCTTGTACTAAGAGGAACTTGGTGTCAATTATTCACTTTCCAAAAGGATTCACTAGATGTCATCCTCAGTGATTTTCCTTAGAGCGTTTCAGGTGGGATTTGAGTTATCAAACTTGGTTTCATTTGTGCTTTCGTGAATATACCTATTTGGTAAGATCTGTTTTGCCAAATTCAGTCCAATACAAATTGGTCTTGAATCCTATTCAAGGGAGATTATGTTTAAAGGACCTGAGGGACTTCATTATAACCACAGCTTCTTCTACCCCGATGCCCCATGGCCTAAGACTCCCAAGAGCAGCAGCTTTCCAGCCATGTCCTGAGTTTCTGGGGCAGAGTAAAGTCAGCAAATCAGGATTTGCCTTCAGCCATCTCTCAGTTAGGAAAAATACAGATTCTGGGGGAAAGTTATTCACAGAGAAAGTAAAATTGCCAGTGGGCCTTTTTTTTTTTTCTTCCAGAAATAAAAGGATACAAGATGAGTGAGATAGTATAGAGGTTAAAATTTTAAGATATTAAAAATATCTCCTTTCAAAGCCACAAGACCCAAAAGACTATTAGGGACACTTCCAATGCTCCATTTATTCAACGCATGGCAGACTGATGATAGGTATTCATTCTGGAACACTGAGCAAAGAAAGGTTTAGCCATTAACTAATATGAATACAAAATAAGCTGGATTCACGAGCCAAAATTGGGATATAAAAACCAGGCCCTTGAGTCTTCTTAAATAAGTTCTTAAATAAGAATAAGTTCCTCTGGGAAAATAACAATGCATTCGATTTTTGTGCGGGTTCCTGGTTGAATTTAGTCATTATGACTCAGGAGACTTCACTGATACGTTTTAGTAAGTGTTGGAGTCTCCCCAACCACCCTATTTAAAATGTAGTTTCTCCCCAGCCATTCCTACCCCTCTCCTGCTTTATTTGTCTCAATATCACTCATCATCATCTGACATACTATCTGCCATCATTATTTAATTGCTTATTGTCCCACTTCCAGAATGTGAGCTCCATAGGGCAAGGGCTTTATCTGTTTCATTTGCTAAATTCTCAACCCAGCGTCTGGCTCACAGTATGTACTCAAGTATTTCTGAATGAATTAAGTAATTTAAAAGGGGGTTCTTGGCCTGGCTCGGTGGCTCACACCTGTAATCCCAGCACTTTGGGAGACCAAGGTGGGTGGATCACCTGAGGTCAGGATTTCGCAACCAGCATGGCCAACATGGTGAAACCCATCTCTACTAAAAGTACAAAAAATTCACCAGGTATAGTGATGGGCGCATGTAATCTCAGCTACTCGGGAGTCTGAGGCAGGAGAATCGCCTGAACCCGGGAGGCAGGGGTTGCAGTGAGCCAAGATCACGCCATTGTACTCCAGCCTGTGCAACAAGAGAGAAACTCCATCTCAAAAATATTAACAATAATAAAAGGGGTTCTTAGCCGAATGTCAGAAAGAATCTCCTTGGTCTTTGTGAATTGCCTTGGGAGGAGATCTGCACTTTCTCCCAAATAGTGGAAACACTAACACGATCACTAAGTCTCTAAAACAACAAAGACCAATTTGTACTCTTCCTTCCTACAATGTTAGATTGCTCTATGCTATCAGTCAGAACCAAATAAATACCTAATGTTCAAAAAACCTGGCACCTGACACTTCACAGGGAGTTGACACCTAAGTGTGATTATCTGGATTTCTGAAAGAATGAATAAATGCAGGAGATAGTAGATATAAAAATGAACCGGCATACTTTGGTAATTGATCACCAGAGAGAAGAAGGTTCATTCTGCAAATATAATATTTAGTTTCCTTGATACTACTCTTTGCAGGTTCTCCTTGACCTTCTCTGATGTTTCCCTCTGAGTCTCCCTCTAAAGATTATTTTCCTTTATCTCCCCCTTAAGTGAGGATATAATCAAGGGTTGTAAAATATGCTAGAATTTCATGTTTTTCTATATCCAGAAACACTTAGAAGATAACATTTGCACAGGACATGAAGGAACAGGGAATGATAAGGCCATTATCATTGCTCCTGAAATTCTGCTGGCCCAAATCCTGCCCTGTCATTTCTAGACACCCCATAGCAGCCCCAAAGTTAAAGGAATCAATATTTCTGTGTACTTATAACCTATCTAAGACACACCAGGATACTGCAGCACAACAGCTAGACAGTTCTCCTCTACTCTTCTACTTCTATACATTTCCAGTCAATCTTATTCGCCTATGATTTCATCAGCACCAAGAGAGTGATAACTCTCTCCACCAACAACTCTTCTTCAAATGCCTACCTCTCCCTTAGCGTCCAGGATTCAGAATCATATGTACCACCACTGATTAAACACACCACCAAGATGTTCCACACCTGGCTGCATCTTCTACCTAAAGCATTCTTCCCTCCTCCTCCTCCCTGTGTAGCAATTAAGCCTGTGACTCAAGGTAGAAACAGGGAGTTACCCTTTTTTCCTTGTTTCTCACCTTCCATATCCAAAAAATCACCTAGGTTAGCCATCCTCTCTCTTTTACATTAGCTGTCTCTGCTTTAGTTCAGGCCCATCTTATCTTTTGCCTAAACTGTGTAAGTGGCCTAACATATCTTCATTCTTCAATCTGCTCCTCCAATCCAGTGATGGGCTGGAATCAACTTTTACTAGCGGATAAAATCCAATTATGCTCTTCTCTTCCCAGCTCTGGGTTTAGTGACTTTAAATTGGCACCTTAAAATTTGCTAAAATGAAAGTATTTACACCATGGAAATTGGCAAATGCTGGAATCAGGACTTTTTGTTGCCAGACAGTAAATTGTTAAACATTTGCTAGTATATTGCTGTTCAAATCTAACCTCTATAGAGAATAATTCATTGAGAACAAAAATTTAGCTATGCCAGACACTTGTTTAGACCATTCTGTGGCTCCTCATTATCTACAAGATTAATCCAAGCTCTTTAAAGTATCACAGAGAGACTTTCTGAGCTCTGCTCCTGCCTGCATCTGTTATCTGGTAATATGCCCCTTCCTTTATGGGTGCCATTAGGCAACATTCAATTGCTTGTAATTTTTCATATCAAGCTATTCTTGACCCCAGGATTTTGCATAAATTGTCCCGGAAGCTTCGAGTCTCTTTCCTTTATTACCCTCTGTTGTATAACTAACTCTTCACTCATACTTCAATACAGAGTTGAGACAATATTTTCTGCAGAAATTATTTTCTTATCACCCCTAGACTGTGCTGACCACTCACCATATTCTGGACAATGAGAGCCCACTTTTCCTATTTCTGCACTACATTTGCTATATTCTATTGTAATTATGGGTTTCTCTCTCCTCTCCTGTAACCCCTGCGGAGAAACTAGGAGATACTTGAGATCAGGAAGCATGCATGTTCATCTGTGCACCTCCAGTTCCTGAACAGTAACTTACATATATTTTAAATTCAACATATATATATATATATATATATATATATATATATATATATATATTTACTGTATGGTAGGTGAATGAATGCATATTGGATGTGATTATAGTAATTTATAACATTTTAAATAATCCTGAAGCCTGAGTTCATACTTTCAAGTCTACTGTTTGTGATTTCTTCATTACACAGGGATAAAGAGGCCCTTAGGTTTCAGCCACATTCATACTGAGGCACTTTGCTGGAGGCTTTTATAAATACATGTTTTTCAGAGGATCATTCTCTTTTCTGTATTTATTTTCTGTGCATCTGGTTTGACCATAGCACAGCTGCAAATAAACTGTCCACTCATTTACAATTAGAAAATGTGTGTGTGTGTGTGTGTGTGTGTGTGTGTGTGTGTGTGTGTGTTTCAAAGGGAGGAGACTATGAAATAGACAAGGGGGTGGTAGACTTCTATTTAACAAGCTCACCAATATTTGGTTTGTTTTCTTCCTGATAGACAGCCAAGCTACCAGGAGAGCCATTTAAAAATGCACTATAAAATGTTGTCTTGAACTAGTTGTTAGAATTGGCTTTCTCTTCTGTTATTTTTGCATTAAAATACAGTGAGACTCCTGTACATTAATTGCTCCAATGAGCTTTGAAATGTAGCACTGTGGCTAGCAAAAGAGGCAAAATATTCATTTCTAAGTTTGAATAGCTTTGTCAAAAAAAAAAAGATAGGTGCTTCTTGAACTTCAGCTCAACGAGCAGTAGCTAAGACACTTAACAAATTATTTTCCTTCCTGGAAAAAAAAGTAATAAGCCTTTTAAGAGATGTTGCAATAACAAAGAACATCCTTTACCATATCTTTATGTATTCTATTTGAAGATCCCAAAGAAAGTGCTGAAAGCAGTAATTCCACAAGTATGTATTACATATATTTCCTTTATTAATATGGTACTTAAATATCAGAAAGAATAAGTGCATGATTATGCAACTAAGCTCAAGGCCATAAAGAAAAGCCACTAATTAAATTTGGAATTGATAGGCATTTGCTGATGTCAAGGAATAGTTTATTGAAATTATTCTGCAAAGGTTTGATGAAAGATTTTCTTCATACCGCCCCCATCTCTCCCACCAAAAGTCCCACTAACCATCTGTTCACCCACAGCACTACCAAAAAGGTGACATTTATTGCAAGCTTGGCATTTTCTGACTCTTTGACCGCAAAATTTATGCTGAACTCCCCAAAAAGAAATGAAGTTGTTTTTACTTTTTCTCCATCTCTCTTTTTGCCTGACTAGTAACAGGAAGTTCTTGGAAACCTCCCCAAGAATGGCTGGTCTTGTAAGAGTCCCAAACCAGTCTTGAAGGCGCCAGAGCCTTGGCACATTTGAGGTAAGGGTTATGGAAACACCTGCACCGCCCCTTTCAACCAAAGTTCCCGTGAGTAAGGCCCAGAAGTTTGCATGGTTGTTTATCAGTGGTGACCCTGAGTGAGGAGAGCTCATGCAAAAAGCTCTAAGGCTTGTCCCAACCAATCTTGTACATTGATTGCACAAGAAAATGCTTATGAAGTATTTTAAAGTGGGTAGTCAAATTAGGACCCTGAGCTGAAACCTGAGGTCAAGCTATGAACTGTTCCCTATTCAGAATTTCTCCCCTTGACAAATACAATGTATAGTAGGAGGGAAAAATCATGGCATGACACCTCATTAGTCGTTATGAGCAGATCTGTTTTTGCACCTCGGGACTCCTCAGGAATGATTTGTGAGGCAGTTCACTGACATTCCTGCTTCAGTCTTCACCAAGCAATCTTAAACCTTTGGGCCTTTGTCCTCTCCTTCTCTATTCTGTGATTAGAATTCTGAAGGAGTTGGAGACAATGCAAAAACAATAGTGATTATTTGCAGAAATACCTCCTCCAGTGCCTGAAGCTAAAAGGGCTCTATCTGATGTTGTTCTGGATCTGGGAAATATAAGGGATGTCAAGGGACAGCATGAGGGTTGCTAGGAGAAAAGGCAGCCTCTAAGGTCTCTGGTGGACTGCAATAGCCATAAAGCTCAGATAACTCCCTATGCTAAAGAAAGGGAAGGGGCTGTGACCAAGTTGCAGATGAGGAATTTTGTTCTGCTTTTCTTTTTCTACTTCCTGTTAGCTTCATTAACTTCCCTGTCTCAATAGAAGCTAAAATTATGAAGATGTAATGCTTCTCATTGAAGAATTTCTTCTGTGAAAGTACCCCAAGCCCACAAAATAGCTTAATAACCCAGCTCACTGATGTCTGCAAATCCACCATTAAATATTGTTTTCGTTTAAAGTCTGATTGCTCACTGGAACAAAATGTTCCTAGAGAAACATATCAAGTGATAGCTATTATTTTCATTTTATTAAAAATAAGTAAATTGATCCATAACTAATAATAGATAATGATTCACTGAGAGCTTACTTGTGCCTGGCACTGTTTGAAGTGCTTTATATGCAATATCTCATTTAATACTCAACAACAAACCATGCATAGCAGTCATGGTGGTTGCTTTGTTGAGTACATTTCAACTGACTATCTCATGATAATTATTACAATGCCATTCCTTTTTTCAGTGTTGGGTTAAGCGTGGGCATGCGACCAAACCTACTAAAAAACATAGGAAAGGAAGTCTGATAAGAGGTTTCTGTATTCTAAAAAGAAGATAGAGTAAAAGAGATAATCTTTCATCTGATATCACACCAATATTCCTGAGTGTGACAGCTTGAGTTAATGCAATCTCATTGCCACCACATCATAAGATGTCCCAGAAGAGAGAAAAATCTGAGCATTGAGTGTCACTATTGAGCCACTGATCATACTGCATCTAGACCAAGCTATCTTCCTGATTTCCACTGATGTGAGATCAATTTTATCACTGGGTAGATGAGTTTGACCTAGGTTTTCCTAACACTTTCAGCAGAAAGTATCCTGATGTACAAAGTGGTTGATAACATTGTCTTTCCCACTCTACAGATGAAGAAATTAAGGATCAGAGAGGTAAGATAACTTTCTATGTTTCCCAAGCTAGAGAGTTATAAAGCAGTGATTTGAACAAAGGACTCGGGCTTCTGAAACCACCCTTTTAACTATCATGGCATACTTAAAAAATATAAAAGAACTACAGTGTTCAAGAAAACAGCAGCGTGATACTGGTTCCATGGGTAAATTATAGGAATATAAGGAGATAATTGGGAACTCTGGGACATTGAGACCCTTGGGTGGTAAGAATGTATGGTGTTCTTTTGAGGCCTTGTACAATAGTGGCAACAATTCAGCTCAGTAGCCAGTCATTGAACCCGTTGGGTACTGTTTCCCACAAGCTAACAGCTCACATCTTTGTAGCAAATGAAACGTGTAAACAATTGACTGCAAAAGAGGCATTATAGCATAGAGGCTACAAAATAACTTTCCTTTAGGGGACATGAGTAAAGAGTGATTAATTCCAGCAGAGGATGAATCTCTTCATCCATTTTGCCTTTCCATGGCTCATGCTACTCCAGAACTTCACTCCATATTACCAATGGCAAGTGCCACAAAGCTTTCCAATCTTTTTTTCTTCTTCACAAAACTTGTTTGAGCCCATCACCCCATAGGATGTGGAAAATTGGTTTCTTTTTAAGGACCCAGGATAAGGGATGGAGTGCATCCTCTTTAACCAACTGATAGGGCTCCTCCAGTCTCTCTGGCTATGAAACTTCAAACAGACTGGAACTGAAAGTAGTATCTTCATCCTCATTTACTAATCAACAACTTATACACAAATTCTTTACCCTAGTATTCAAGATATTTCTCTATATACATGCAACTATCTTTCAAGATTAATTCTTGATACTTCCCAATAAAAATGGCATGTTAGCTGATTTAGACCATTAAATCTCAGGCACGGTGGCTGATGCCTGTAATCCTAGCACTGTGGGAGACTGACGTGAGAGGATCACCTGAGGTCAGGAGTTCAAGACCATCCTGGCCAACATGGTAAAACCCCATCTCTACTAAAAATACAAAAATTAGCCGGGTGTGGTGGTGGGTGCCTATAATCCCACCTATTTGAGAACCTGAGGCAGGAGAATTGCTTGAACCTGGGAGATGGAGGCTGCAGTGAGCCAAGATCATGTCACTGCACTCCAGCCTGGGTGATAGAGGGAGACTCCGTCTCAGAAAAAAAAAAAAGAAAAAAAGAAAAAAAAAAGCACATATTCCAGTAGAAGCAATAAACCATCTCTATATAATTATATATATTCAGACATTCACTAACCATGTTGTACATGTTTTTAAAAAAAGAAGAGACCAACATTCGAAAAAAAAATAACAGGCAAACAAAAATATGGTAAAATTGTTATGTAATGAAAAACTAAATGTTGTATAAGTAATTTATAGAAATCTGTTAAAATTGAGTAAGAGGCAGTTTCCCATAGAAAAAAGAAAGGATGTGAATATACAGTTCAATAAAAAACAAATTCACTATATTATACAAAATATTCAATTGCACCAGTAGAGAAACTCAAATTTAAAGGGTTTTCATTTTAAATGATCAAATTAGCAAATATTTTTAAATGATGAAATTTAGTACTCTGAGGGAAACAGATATCTGTGCACTACTGAGGCTTTGCTCAGAAACATTTTCACGTTTCACTCACGAGAGTTAGGTCCCAAGTCTTCCTTTGAAGACCAATCACTATTGATTTAGAGTCCATGCCTGATGCAGTCTGGCCATGATCAAAAGACCATGAAATTTATCATCCCAGACAGAACACTTTTGAGTGTGAAAGTGAGGTAGGAAGCAGAACTCAACTCTGGAGGCGGGACTCAGACACAGGACCAAATTGAGGACTAGCTAAAACAGGGACGGGGCACAGGCAGCTTTTCCATAAGACAAGCCCACCAGTGTTTACCACGCCCACGTCAGTTTACCATTACCATGGCAACACCCCCTGCGTTACCACTCCTTTCCATAGCAATGACCTGTTAACCTAAATATTACTACCCCTTCCCTAGAAATTTCTGCATAAAACTATCTCTTATTTTACACGCAATTAAAAGGAGGTATAAATATAACTGTGAAACAACCTTGAGCTGTTACTCTCAGTCCACTGCCTATGGGGTAGCCCTGCTCTGCAAGAGCAGTCACAGGGCTGTAACACCTCCAGAGCTGTAAGCTGCTGCTTCAGTAAAACTGTTTTCTTCTACACTATCACAAGCTCACCCTTGAATTCTTTCCTAGGCAAAGCCAAGAACCCTTATGGGCCAAACTGCACTTTGGGGCCCGCCTGTTCCACATCAAAAAGAAATATTGAAAATTATACCAGGCAACAGGTATAAACCAGGACTTCTCCTGAAACCTGATTCACCCCCTGAAAATGGAAAAGCATCTCACCCTGAAATAAAAGGATCCTCACCTACCACCTGAGCAAATGGGGCTCTACAATTACGAAGTACTGTGGATGGGTGGACATGTCTGCTATGCCACGAAAGGCAGCTAGACAGAAACTGACAATCATTTTCTATACTTGATCTTCTGATAGACAATTGTCCTCGTTTTTTCTCAAAATTTAGCTTCCTCAATTTCGGCTTAATTCCTACTCTCCTTTCCATCCCCACTGCCCACTCCATTGAAGGAACTGAAGACAAGGGACTGATTCCAGATCATTCTCCTCTTTCATTCCTCATAAAGTCCACCTGGTTAACGGTTGTAGTTAAGATCCATTTGATTGCAACTGATAGAAATCAAACTCAAATGAATTTAAGATGGAAAATAAACAAATAAAAAATAAAAACTATGGGAGATATTTTGGCTCTGGGAAATCTATGGGGTAGAACTGGCTTCAGGCATGTAACTATCAAGGATGTCTTCAGAAGTGTGTTCCTCTCTCTCTCCTGACTTCTTCGATCTGATTATCTCTACTTCACTTCAGTGTAGTACACAATCTCTCTGTAGGTCAGCAAGAGAACCTGCAGCCTCTCCTGAATCACATGGTACCATTCCGAGCATCTGATCTCAAAAAGTAAGATTCTTTATTTCTCTTTCCTCTCTCTCTCTCTCCCCCTCTCCCCTTCCCCCAGCTCTGCCTCTGCCCATAGCAGTTGCACAGAAGGGCTTTGATTGTTCACGTTTGCATTATGCGGCACTAATCATGAAGTCTCAAGGCATGAATTATTCCGATTGTCCAGTTTGATTCACATGCTCAACTTTTGGCAGGGGTGATAGATCCAAAAAATCACATGGGTTGGGGAACAGAGCAGTTCCCTAAAGAAAGGAATACAGTGTACATCAAAATGTAATAGATGTCTAGTACTGACTAATTTTTGGATCTGCCCCCCCAATCACCCTTCCACTTAGACTGAAGGCACTTTCACTATGGGGAGCATGTCTTATTTGTAGCAAAGTAGTTGGCATAAGATGACACTTTCTGGTTTTGAATGAATAAGTGAATGTTTCACTAATTTATTCATAGAATAAAATTAATAGTATTGAAGGAAAAGCAGTGACAGTGAGCAAAATAAAATATACAAATCATATCAATGATCTGGATAAAAAAGATAGCAATATATAGCACTACATTCATAAAAGGATATCAGTCACTTTTTAATAATTTCTAGGAAGATTTAAAAGTATCAATTAGATAATACCTTTATTGTAACTCTGCAATTTGTCCTCCTAGGCATTGTTATTCATTCTACTTTTTATGTGTCATATTTATGAACTTGATATTGAATATCTAAAAATGCCATAGGATATTGATCTGGGCAAATAACTTATGACTAAGACCACAAAGCAAATGCATCAACAACAAAAATAAGTAAATGGGACTTAAACTAAAAAGGCTTCTGTACAGCAGAAGAAATGATCAACAAATAAACAGACGACATAAAGAATGGGAGAAAATATTTGCAAACTATACATCTGACAAAGGATCAATATCCAAAATCTATAAGAAACTCAAACCATCAAGAAATGATAAAATAATCCTATTAAAAACTGGGCAAATAACATGAAGAGACATTTTTCAAAAGAGGATATACAAATGGCCAACAAACATATGAAAAAATGCTCAACACCATGAATCATCAGGGAAATGCAAATTAAAACCACAATGAGATATCACCTCACCCCAGTCAGACTAGCAATTATTAAACAGTCAAAAAAAATGATGTTGGCAGAGATGTGGTGAAAAAAAACACTTAACACACTGTTAGTGGGTATGTAAATTAGTACATCCTATATGGAAAATGGTCTGAAGAATTCTAAAAAAACTAAAAGTGGATCTACCATTTAATTCAGGAATCCCACTACTGGATATCTACTCAAAGAAAAAGAAGTCATTATATTAAAAAGACACCTGCACTCATAGGTTTATCACAGCACAATTCACAATCTCAAAGATATGAAATCAACCTAAGTGCCCATCAACAAATGTGTGGATAAAGAAAATGTGGTACACACACATACATACACACACACACACACACACACACCATGGGCTACTACTCAGCCATAAAACGAATGAAATAATATCTTCTGCAGCAATTTGGATGGAACTAGAGGCCATTATCCTAAGTGAAGTAAATCAGGAATGAAAAAACAAATACTGCATGTTCACAGTGGTACAGTGAACATTGGAGACTAGAAAGGGAGAGGGTGGGAGGAGAACATGAGATGAAAAACTACCTATTGGGTACAATGTACGCTATTTGGGTGATGAGTTCACTAAAAGCCTAGACTTCACCACTATACAATTCATTCATGTAACCAAAAACCAGTTGTATCCCTAAAGCTATTGAAATAAAAAATAATAATAATAAAAATAAAAGTGCCATAGATTTGTCACTAATTGTTTAATCATGGTCCATTTGTTCCTAAAGTAGCTGGGCTACTCACAGCTACCAGAGAGTGGAGACCTAATAAGACCTCGGTGGCAGAATGCAATTATTCCTATTAGAGGTAAGAATGAGTCCAACCATAACATCGTTTTAAAATATAGGCCAGACGCGGTGGCTCACAGCTGTAATCCCAGCACTTTGGGAGGTTGAGGTGGGTGGATCACCTGAGGTCAGGAGTTCGAGACCAGCCTGGCCAACATGGTGAAACCCCATCTCTACCCAAAATACAAAAATTAGCCAGGCATGGTGTACAGTACCTGTAATCCCAGCTACTTGGGAGGCTGAGGCAGGAGAATCACTTGAACCCAGGAGGCAGAGGTTGCAGTGAGCCGAGATCACCCCACTGCACCCTACTCTGGGTGACAGAGCAAGACTTTGTTTCAAAAATGAATAAAGAAATAAAATATAGTGGAGAATTATCATATTTTTGTGGGGCAATGGCTAATTGATAAACTCTCTCCCACCTCATGTATGATCACTTTATGTTAATTCTCAGTGTGCTAAATACTAATTCCCACAAGTACCAAATTAGACACAGAAGAAAAAAAAATCACGTTTTAAGGATTTTTGTTCCAAAAAAAGTTTTCATTAAATTGCTACAAAAAATAATACTTACTCTCAGTTTAGAAGCCTCTTGCCTGAAGGAGAAGATGACTTGGTCACATTTCAGCACTAGGGCCCAAGTCTCTAAGCAACTTTCCTCAGAAATGGTCACTGAGAAGCATTTCTCCCACACTGTGTCAAAGGGCTGTTTAAAAAACTGCCCCAAGTGAGAACATTTAGAAATGCACACGCCTGTGTGTTAGGAAAGCCATCAACACTCTTGCAGAGCCATATACCTGCCCTCCAGGGACCTGAAACTATTCCATTATACCAGAAACTCTGTAGAATGTAAATCCAGAGGCCTGAAACGCTGTATGTTTTTCAGAAAGTACAAAGTGGAAGCCATTAATTCCATGGATTCACCAAATGAATGGATTGTTTCATCTGCATAAATGAACTGTCAGAAACAATGGCCACGCAGCACTTTTGCTCCCATTTCCCACAGAGGAAAAAACCATCTCCCAAATAAGGCTACATCTATTTACAAAACTTAAGCAAAGCAGCTTTTGCTGAAGACGGGAAAAAGGAAAGTTTGATTTATATTCTAAAACCTGGATGCCTGAATTCAAACAGCATGCATTAGAAATATACAGTTCAATTCTCTCTTAATACACAGAAAGATGTCAGCTCTGTCTTTAGAATGCAAATGGGAGCGTTCTTATTGCACATCTATGGTTATTTCAGCAAACTTGCAGGAGCACTTCTGTGTTGCATCTAGCTTTATTCCTTCTTGTCCCTCTTTTTAAAATCTCTTTCCTGAAATATTTTAACCCCTAAGACTTTGAGACACCATTCCCCTTTTTGCTGCCTCTCCTCTTGTTCTTTCATTATGAAATATTCAAAACACTCAGAATGTTTTAATGAAGAGTGAAATGTAAGAAACATCATTTTTACCTTTACTTACCCAGCATTCTGAAATCTTTGCATTTTTCTTAATTGTTTCAAATTTCATTTAAGTAGTAAATTGTTCTAACATTGCTCCTTGCACACCAGTTCCCCAAATTATTACACTTCTCCCAAAAGTTACTACTTTCCAAAATGTGGTATTCATTATTTTACTTCATGTGTGTATTTTTACATAGTATTTTTCAATGGTAGATACGGTACATATCCATATGTAACTTTTTTATTCTATATTTATGCACAGCATTGAGTGTCATCAATATGTCACATATAGCCCTAAGTCATAATAACAGCTATATAGTACTTCGTTGAATGAATATAGACAGTTTGTCTAATTTCTCAGTGATAAACATATGCCTTCCTTTTCCATTATTTGCTTTTCTTCTTTTCATCCATGATGACTTAGGACTTTTATGGACTGACTGTAGCATTTTGTCTTTGAAGCGTTGTCTCTTTTGTCTTAGGCAGTAATAAAAAGTCATTTGTACCTATCTACTTCGGTTAACTATTCATGTTTTTGTTCCCTTAAGGTTTATTTGCATACTGTATTATGTATGATTTTTCTGCGATTATATTTCTTTGTTGTGAGTGTAGGCATAGAGCTTCAGGACAAGACTGAATCTTAGTAGTCATACAGTCCAATTTTCATTTTTTAAACTATGACATTGAAATCAAGAGGAGGTGAATGACTCACCTACAGACATACCACTGGGTCTCCTGGCTCCCTGTCCTTTCTTTATTCTTTTCACTGCACCAAACTACTGCTCATCCATTCAATTTTACAATATTTGTTTCTCAAATATTGTAAACATTCACAAAGAAAGCAGTTTCTCAAAAGGTCTAGCACATCTTACATCCTTCTCATCAGAGGAAGCTAGGCACTGTGGGAACATCCAAAAACAGTTCATGTCCTCAAAGACATTAAACTGTAAATGAACAACCAAAGAGAAATGAAAACATTACAGGCAACTATAGTTCTTATACGGAATTCAGCTATGACTGAATTCCAGTATCAAAGGCAGAGATAAGTCTTGTAGAAGGCAAAGAAGGTGAGATCTGACTGGGAAGGTGCTTGTCAGAGAAATGTTCAGAATAAGGCAAGATTAGAGCCTGTGCAGTCAAGGAATACAAGATCAGATGAAGAATATTAGAGGCAGGAGTTCCAATATCATCAAAGAAACAGAAGAGAGAAAACCACTCTTATAAATTTAAGGAACTTCTCATTACTTTTTTTTTCTATGAACTTTTTCTTCTTATTGACACCTTTATAGTGGAGGGCAGGCTTCTTGACATTTGGTTTCTACTATCTCTCAGTTTCTTGGAGGATCCTTCTTAACTGTTATTTCAACTTTTGATTTTGGTGTAATGTTGAATTTATAAAAACTTTAACTGTGCAAGAATAGGACTCTTGTATGTCCTTTACTCATATTCACCAAGTGTTTATCTTTTCCCCACTTGCATTACCAATCTTTCTGTCTGCACAGCTATGTAATTTTGATGAACCTTAGAGAGTAGTTGGAGACATTATGCCACTTTATTGTACATGATAGTATTGTGTATTTCTTAGGAACGGGAATATTCTCTTACGTAACGCAAAATTATCAAAACATATTCAACAATCTCAATAACGTCCTTCATTGCTTTCCTCCCCCTTTATGCCAGTACAGGATCAAATCCTAGATCACACATAAAACTGCATAATTTATAAGAAAAACATTTTGCTTTGAGCTTCATTGATCTAGCCTTTTATATAGCAATTATTGAAAATCTGTGAAGAGAGTTAAAGAGGCAATCCCTGTTCTCCACACACTCAAGCCACATGGTGAAGGGTAGATGAGTTATCTTATTTTAATAGATTACGATCTCTACTGTGAGAGTCATTGGATACTCTGCTATGATAAGGCTTCCAGGAAGAGGTTATATTAAAGCTGAGACTTTAAAAAGTAGAATACAGTAGTAACAGCTTTCCTTTCAAAAGTAGCATGTGCTAAAACAAAGTAGACTGTAGCGTATTTAGAGAACTGTAAGTAGCTCAGTATTTCAATGTAGTAGGGGCTATATGTGTATGTATGTGCATGCATGTGTAAGCACACGTGCATGTAGATTTGGCAAGGTTTGGTGATTGATGGGAGTTGAATTAGGTATAAGCTAGATCATAAAACACCTTCTATGTTATAATGTAAAACCAGATCCTGAAAGCAATGGGGAATTGTTGGAGAAATTTAAGCAGGAGGCCAATAAGATCTCATTTGATTTGCCTTGTCTGAAAGATTAGTCTGGCTGCAGTATTATGTGTGAATATTACATCAATATGGGTGAAAAATTACAAGGGCTTCAAAGAGGCAACACTGTCATGTAGACTTAGAATCTTTTAAAGAAGGAAAGTGGACAGAATCTAGCAATTGCTGAATGGGGATGGTGGGTAGTGGTAAGAGGGAACAGACTGTCTAGGAAGACTTCCCTGGGCTTCCAAGTCAGACCTGGACCCATTCTACAAAGGAAAACAGACAAAATCTATGATTTCAGGCCATTGGAGCTTATTCTCCTAACATTCTCTCTATACTCTTTGGAAACATGGAAAAAGTACATATTCCTGAGTCCTGCCCACACAGTTCCTTGACTCTTATACACAAGCTTCCTTGTCTTCTGGAGGAGACTTGGTCTGGTCTTGGTCCATGCTCCCTGGGTGATCTGGCCATCTCTCTTCTTGCAACTATTTCACCATTTCTCTTGAAGTAAGTAAGTAGAACGCCATCTTCCTTTCATTAATGCTTGGGCCTCATGTATCATTCTGCCACCTACTGCAGCTAGACTTTATAATAATATTCCCACAAATATTTCGTATTTGGTGTTTGATATTCCTTAGACTGTTTATTCTTCCCCTTTTGCAAACCAATACGCCCTTTTCATAAACTTGAATACATTTCTCAGCCAAGAGCTTATTTAAAGATCTGAAAGTTTCTTGTAAAATTCAGACGTGAGCTCATTTATTCAAGAACACTTCCATTTCTCAAGGATTTAATGATGCCTCTTCCCCCACCCCCAAGTCAGTTGATTTTGTTTCTAAATCAGCAAATCACTTTCAACTACATCAGCTTAGGTAAACTTATCTTACTCTCTTCTGTCTGTTATTGGGGAAAATAAATCATCTGACTATAATTCTAAAACACAGAATGAGTTAACATTATGTTATGAGGGTGGGAAGAGAATGGACAAATGTTCGAAGGAGACCAATTGGAATGAAAAAGAGAAAGGAAGAAGGAAGACCAGAGGATGATTTTTTGCTTGACCTCACTCTTCTGAGTCCAAGTTCAATCCCTTCTCTTAACATACGCATGCCTCTTTTTGAAATCTCAGCAGATTCTTTGCTTCGACTTCCACTTTAATGTATGATATGGCCCTAGATTTCTTTTTCAGTCTAGATATCATTAAATTCTAGCATCTCTAACTTCTGAGTGGGCTCTCAAAATTATTTATTGTTATTCTAGTAAATGCCATGTTCCATTGATTATTTCAAATCACTGACATTTTTTATTCCCAAATTAATATTCTTTTTAATTTACTTATATTATTTGACATACAAAACTGTACATAATATATACAACTTGATGAGTTTGGAGACAAGTATACATCCATGAAACCATCACTGCAATCTATGCCATAAATCTATCACCTCCAAAACTTTGCTCTTGCTCTCTTATTATCAGTAGTAGTAAGAATACTTAGCATATGATCTACACTTTTAGTAAATTTCTAAGTATATAATACAATAATGTTAACTATAGGCACTATACTGTACAGTAGACCTCTAGGACTTATTTATCTTGTATAACCAAAACTTTGTACCCTTTGGCTAATATCTGTCTGTTTCCCCTCCTCCCCATCCCCTGGCAACCACTATTCCATTGTGTTCTTCTATGAGTTTGACAATTTTAGATTTTTCATATAAGTAGTATCATGTAGTATTTGTTCATCTGTGCCTGTCTTATTTTACTTGGCATAATGTCCTCCAAGTTTATCCATGCTGTTGCACCTGGCATGATTTCCTTCTTTTTTAGGCCAGATTATTTATATATATATATATACGTATATATATATATATATATACACATATATATATATATATACACACATATATATATATATACACACACATATATATATATATATACATACACACACACACACACACACATATATACACACATATATATACATATATACATACACATACACACACACGTATATCATATATATACATATATATAATGTGATATATATATATTACATTTTTAATCTATTCATCTGTTGATGGACATTTAGCTTGCTTCCCCAACTTGCTATTGTGAATAATACTGCAATGAACATTGGAGTACAACTATCTCTTTGAGATCCTGATTTTAATTCCTTTGGATATATACCCAGAAGTGTGGGATTGGAAAATTCTATGCACATCTTCCTGGTATTTTTGCTTCTATTTATTTCTTAACTTTTGGGGAGGTTTCTGTTTTAGAAAGAGAAGTTGAAACATTAGGGATGCTTAGCTGCAATTTTTTTCCAGAAAATTGAGGTGTTATCTCTGTCCTTGCCCTCTGTGTCAATCAGTCTTCCTAGGAGCTGTCTTCCTAAGTGCCATTTCCAGCCTAGGTAGAAGTTTAGCATAACTAAAATGCATTCAATATGTTCCTTTTTAATATTACATCCCACTGTGCCACTTATTGTCTGTGCAACATTAAGGCAGTCACTTGACCTCCTTGGCTGCTGAATCATCATTTTTAAGTAGAAAGCTGTAAAAGATAAATGGGTCAAGGTTCTTTTCATTACTAAGTTTTAAGATTCTGTGAGGTTTTTTTCCTTTGTCTTTTCAATCTTAGTTTTGTGTTCCAGCTTCTATAGCTCCTCTGAGTTTCCATCACCCCTCTATCTATTCCAAAATACTGTCCTCACAGTGTTCCTTGGCGTCTTCCTAGACAATTTCCCTGAGGGCAAAGCAAGAATCATTTTCATGGTCATACTTGCCATTCCCTTCTCCATATTCTTCCCATTTCCATATGAGAATATGCTTCTGCACCAAAGAGTACGGAGTTATTGTTCTTGCTGCCTCACTATGGGGGCCCCATTGCTTATCATGCTGTGTGTCTTGGGAAGAAAAACATAGCTGTGACTGTCATCATATCAAGCCAGACGTGGATCCTCAGCCAAGACAAGGGATTTTTAAAGATGGTGGAATCATAAGTACCCGAAGTGGATTGAATAGTGAGCATGACGTTTAGTCCTGCAATAACATAGTTTTGGATGTACTTAAAGATGTATAGAGAAATTCTCATCAAAGCGTTTTCTGTGACAGTAAAAACTTAAAATTTATGTCCAACATTATAAGGCTGATCAATTCAATAAATTGCATAAAGGAGTTTGAGCTTTAGATGAAGGATTTGAACAGTCATTAAAATGTTTGAGCTAAAAGTGCTCAGATTGGATTTTTGTTTTCGAAAGATTACCCTTTGGTGATAAAAACAATAATTTGGAGAAGGGCAGGAACTAGAAAATGTAGTGATACTGGTGGCCTTGACAATGTTGACGGAAGTGAATATGAAGAAGCATATTTGAAGACTTCAAGGAGAAAGAATTAGAAGGAATCCATGAATGATTGGATGTGGAAGTTGGGAGAAGGTTTCCACTAATCAGTCATACCATTTTTAAAGTCTTTCTACACCTTTTTTTCCTCTGGGCCCTTCATATATGAGCTTACATCACTCACAGCACAGCCTCAGAAAATGTTATCAGAGAGAAAAGTTTGTCTGCAGTGTCACCATCTCCCTTTTCAACATTCTAGCTTCCTTTTCTCTACATCTTCTCTGCCTCCTTTAAATTTAGACATCAGCATATTCTGCAGTTGTTGAAATCTGAGAATACAGAATTGGGAGTCCCTCAGGCCCACTTTTTAATTCACTTCTGCCATTTTCAAACCATGATATTCGGCAAGTGATTTAACTCATTAAGCCTCAGTTTTTATTTATGTAAGCTAGGATAGTAGTGCATATTCCATAGGGTTATGATGAGTGAAATACATCATGCATTTATAAATTACCTAGCAATGTGCCTGGTCTAGAACATACTCTCAATAAATAATTGTTACTAACACAGTCTTATCCAGGAATGAAAGTAGATAGCTTTATACCTTCAAATTATTTAAAATCAGATGGTTTTCTCTCTCAGGGATATTTGCTTTTCATTTTTGTCTCTAATGATGAAATGACAGATTTTTAGTTCTATTAGATACAATTATACCAAAAGCCTTAGGTAGAGAAGCCATTTTTTTAAAACTGGATTTATTCAATACTTTGTTATCATATTCTCCCCAGTCTCCTTCGCCTTTGTAGACACAATCAGTCAGCACAATCTTATAAACAAGAGAGAACTGCTCCTGTTCCTTAAGATTTCTGGTTTGTTTTTTGACCAGGCTGCTGCATCAGAGAGTGAAGGCTGAAAGAACCAACTTCCTCCTGGCTATGGGACCGTGGGAGAGATATCTGAATTTTCTAAACTTCAGTTTTCTAATCTGTATTCTCAGAACAACAATAGAACACTAGGATGTTAAATTGGATAATGAATAATTGGATAAGTACTTAGCATGGGATATGCAATGTAGAAAACATTAAATAAAGGCTTACCTTTTTATTATTAATAGTATTACCTCTTCTAACTTTGTTGTATCACTTTACTCTTTTCTTTCTCTATGGCTACATATTTTTGACAATAGATATTACACATTAGTTGAGTAGCAACCTTGTAGAAACATTCCCAGATATATGTTAAAATATAATGTTGCAAATAAGCTTGATGAAGAAATGTGAAATTTGCTGCCAGTTTTTCTCTATTGCTAATATTTTATCTTTATCTAGGCTTTTGATTTGCAATAATTATTCTTTTATGTTTGCTATCTTCTCACTTATTATGACCATGTTTCCCTTTAAGTCCTTGATCATAAGTATAATAGCTGCTTTAAAAGTCTTGCCTGATTATTTTCAGTTCTGGGTCATCTTGAGATCAGTCTCCATCAATTGATTAATTTCCTCCCCACCACCACTTGGGAATCATATACATTTTTTCTTCATATATAAAGTAATTTTGGTTTGTGCCCTGAAAATATATATATATATGTAAAGTAATTTTGGTTTGTGCCCTGAATATATATATTCAGGGTACAATAATGATTGAATTTATGTGTGTGTGTATGTGTGTGTGTGTGTGTGTGCATTATTTATTATAGCAAAACAATGTAGGACAGAATGGGTTCTTTTCCCCTTCTCCCTTCAACTCCTTCCTGGCTATAGCATACTCAGCTCCTTTTGGGACCAGGCACAGACCAAGCCAGGGTAATTTTATTTCTTAAGCAGGTATTACTTGAGTAAATTCAAACTTCAAATTGAATTCTAGGACTCTTGTTTTTCTTTCCAGCTTTAGCTAAGCTACTTGGGGTCTTCCTTGAGTATGTATGGTTCAGGGATCAGTTAGAAATGTGGGAAGAATTTAAACATAAAAATCAAAGTTTTCCCTTTCTAGGATTCTCCTCTCCCACTTTCTAGATGTTGTGACTACCCAGACCCTTTCCTCTGGCTTTCCTACTGGCTTTTTGAGCCAATATGACCGAGACGTGTGTATCTGAACTTCAGTTACTCCTATATTACAGATTGGAGTCTGCCCTCAGCCTAAAAACTCGTAAAAATAGGAAACTAACCCTATATGCCATCATCATCTTTGAAATATCGACTTCTGGCCAGGCGCGATGGCTCACGCCTGTAATCCCAGCATCTTGGGAGGCTGAGGCAGGCAGATCACAAGGTCAGGAGTTCAAGACCAGCCTGGCCAGCATGGTGAAACCCCATCTCTACTAAAAATACAAAAATTAGCTGGGTGTGGTGGCGGGCGCCTGTAATCCCCACTGCTCAGGAGGCTGAGGCAGGAGAATCGCTTGAACCTGGGAGGCGGAGGTTGCAGTGAGCCGAGATTGTACCACTGCACTACAGCCTGGGCAACAAGAGCAAAACTCCGTCTCAAAAAGAAATATATCAACTTCTGCCTTTTACAATTTGCCTGCCTTTGGTCACTAGTATTCCCTTCACGTATTTACATTTTGTATATTGTCAAGAATTCCTAGTTGTTACCTGTTAGAGGGTGGGTCTGATATGAGCTGCTAAGCCTTGCTGAAAGTTGAATTCCCTAGTAATTATTTGTATGTTCCAAACAGAATAAAAATCTACGTTGACTATTGTAAAGAGAAGTGAAAATCACCCACATTTTGTCACTCTAAAAGTTCACATTTCCCTCACTGTACTTCTTTCCACTTCTTGTCCATGAATATACTTTTAATTCATTCATAAGATTTCTATAAAAGTATTATACTGTTGTCTCAAATCTGCCATTTTGATTCTGTGTTCCACTCTCTATAACACAGGCCATGATGGGCATTTTCACTCCTGTTTTACAAATAGAGAAACATAGGTATGTACAGTATAAGCAATTTCTCTAAGGTTGTACAGTAAATCAGAAATTTGAATGCAGATATTCTGATCTTACATTGGCTATTCTAACAACAAATAAGGTTTACACACAGAGAGAGACAGAGACAGAGAGAGAGAGCACACACACAAAATTCTCTTTCTTAAATCTTACAAAGGGGATTAGAATTCTGTGCTTATTTCATTCCAAGATTTATAGCCATGCTTATGAGCTTCTTGAGGCATGAGGGTAAGAGAGACCAAACAGGACAAGGCTTACTCTAATTCCAAGTACTTGAAATTCAGTTTCAAAAAACCCGTTACTTTTTCCAAAACATCCACAAAGTAACTTCTTTAAAAAGTTAACTTGGCTAGTGTTTCTTTACCTGTCCATTGCTGGTATCAAGTTTCCAAAAACTAATATACTGCATGCTTCCTACACACAAGCAAATTCCAAAAGGAGCGGTCAGTGCCCACACATAGGGGATAGATTCCCAGCAGGGTGTATGTGTCTTGAATCTGTGCTTTTTTTAATGTGTGGGATTTGGAAAAAAGAATGTTGAAAATTTCTTTTCCACCATAACAGTTTAGGACTTTAAGTCATGTAGAACTGAGACAGCTATTTGCCATGCAATACAAACACGAGTGCCAGGGCAGCCCATACTTTGCCAATCTTAGCATGTCTTGAAAAATGCATTCGTTTGGAGATGTTAGTTCAAGACTTTATTATCCTCTGAGGCTTTTCTTGTAGAGAAACATACCCTTGGCTTTCCTAGGTGGTATGTTAGACCACCTTCTGTCAGGGAGAGTTAGACTGCTGAATAGTCAGTGCTAAGATGAGAGGTTGTTGCCGGCTCTTTCTTGTCAGGTTTAACCTAATCTTGTTTGATATTTCTTACAGAAAATTAGATGTATATAAAATATCAGGCTATGAGATTCTTAGAATAGTAATGACACTTACTCTAATATCCCTTAGACTTTCTATAATGTTCTGTACACAATAAATATTTCAGAACTTCTTCGATGCCATTGAAATATAAAATCTGGAAAATTTTTGAATATAGTTTTACCATCAAATTGAGGACCATGAGAAGTGTTTTATTTTCCAAATCCAACTGGTAAAGAAGAAATTATCAAACAAGAATGTTTACTGCCTACGAACTCATACTAAACTTTGTATCTATAAAAATCTTTATCAGTGCACCTTAGGTATTTTTTAAGCCAAACACAGCCTACTGCCTTAAAAGAAAATTTTTACATTTTTAGCATGGAATACTTTTAGCATAGCATAGAAAAGATTAGCATGGAAACTTTTAAGTTTTAAGCATAGGATAATACTGTCTAAAAAGAAAAATATTTTGGTTTGATATCTCAGCCATTTTCCAGTGGGGAAAAATGAAAGACTTCACCAAACACATATTCATATGTTAAAAGACATGCAAATAACTTGATAAATTACATGCCATTAACAGTTTGAAAGAAAAGGAGACTATAAAATCAGATATTAATACTATATTGCCACTCCAAAACAATATCTTTGCCTAAAAATAGCAATTTTCAGTGTATTCCTAATAACAGAATTCCTAAAATATGCTCCTAGGGAAATAATACTAGCAATTATTTTCAGGAAGCAATGCTTACTGTAGCTTCCTCCTTGAGACTCACAGTACATATTATTATATTAGAGGCTTTAAGAAGACCCATTCAGCCCATGACTACAGAAACAAGTTTTATTTTGTGAGGTAGTGTAGTGAAAGAAGATGGAATCTGAATTCAGGCAGAGTGGGTTCTCATCCCGGCTCAGTTACTTATTTGTGTAAACTTAAGTGACAATCCGTGAGTCTCTCAGTTTCATCATCTATAAAACGGGAAACAATTGTTACTTTAGGAGGATCTCTCCAGCCCAGGAGGCAGATGTTGCAGTGAGCCAAGATCATGCCACTGCACTCCAGCCTGGGCAACAGAGCCAGACCCTCAAAAAAAAAAAAAAAATCAAAGGTATGTTATAGGATGGAGTAGTTCAAATAGCCTCTGACTGAGATGCCATCTTGCAGTTGGGCAGATAGGATTCCAGATCAGGAGTTCAGTGTAGGTTTGGGTGAAGACCAATAAGGAATCAGAGCGACGTCTGTTAGACCTATCACTCTATGACCATGGGCAGGTAGTTATAACCACACTGAGCCTTGATTTCCACGTGTAGATAACCTGTGAAATACTGCTTACTTACTGTGACACCTAAATAAAATAATATATAGTGATGCCTATAATATCAGTATCAATAATAACAATTATCTTGTTGCTTAGAAATACCATTTACTAAATATTTTAATTTATGGTGCAAAATGTTTTTTTCTGGATTAAAAATTCTTCAGCCACACAACTCCAAAGTGAGTTTTAAATTACCTTTTCAAATTGTGTAACATCCTGAGCCTCAATTATAAATAAGTTCTACCACTCCAAGCATCCTACAGTCTTCATAATTGATTTGCAAATATTACATGATATAGTTATATAGACAAATATTCAATTTATTAAAAAATTATATCTTAAATGTTAAATGTAAGATAAATAAATTTCAATCTTGAATTTATTTAAGTGTTCTCATTATATGAACATAATAATAATAATAGCAATAGTAATAGCTCCCTCCCATATTCACTGAGCACTTATTATGTGTTAGGTAGAAAACCTCAGGAAGTTTATTTCCTTTCTAATCCTCATAACCAGTGAACTAAGACAGTATTATTAGCTGCTTTTTACAAAATGGAAAGGATAACTCAAAGAATGCAGGTAACTGGCCATGTTTACATATATTTATGTGACAGAGCTGATATTTTTAGCCCAGTTCTGAGTCTCTTCCCTCCACATCTGAAGGATCTGCCTGTTCATTAGACCAAGATGCATTACACCAAGACCAAGAAATTCAGTTGAAAGAAAAATCTGGCCGGGCACGGTGGCTCACACCTGTAATCCCAGCACTTTGGGAGGCCGAGGCGGGTGGATCACGAGGTCAGGAGATCGAGACCACCCTAGCTAACACGGTGAAACCCCGTCTCTACTAAAAATAGAAAAAATTAGCCGGGTGTGGTGGCGGGCGCCTATAGTCCCAGCTACTCGGGAGGCTGAGGCAGGAGAATGACGTGAACCTGGGAGGCGGAGCTTGCAGTGAGCCGAGATTGTGCCACTGCACTCCAGCCTGGGCAACAGAGCAAGACTCCGTCTCAAATAAAAAAAAAAAAAAAAAAAAAAAAGAAAAAGAAAAATCTATGCTAGAGTTTCATCGATAAGACAATCTAAACATAAATCAGCTTTGAAAAACGGAGGAAATTTTGTTCTTGAGAGGTAGGATTTGGAAGCACAGAGATGAGAAGGATTGTTGCCAACTGAACTGTCTCTCCCCAAAATTCATATATTGAAGTCTTGATCCCCAGTACCTCAGAATGTAACCATATTTGCAAATAAGGTCTTTACCAAGGTGACTAAGTTACGAGGAGGCCGTTAGAGTGGGGTCCTATTCCAGCATGACTGGTGTCCTTATAAGAAAAGAGAGAGACATAAGGGATTGCCCACAAAAAGAGAAAAGACCATGTGAGAACTCAGAGTCAAGGGGGCCACCTGCAAGCTCAGGAGAGGGGCCTAGGGGCAACCAGACCTTCTGGCACCTTGATCTTCAACTTCCAGCCTCCAGAACACAAATGTCTGTTGTTGAAGCCATGCAGTCTGTGGTATTTTGTTATGACAGCCCTAGCAAACTAACACACAGAAGGTTCATAAGATGTGGTGACAATTGTGACCAAAAGCACATCAAAAAGACACCAAAGTGTGCAAAAATACCAAAACACCAAAAAAAAAACCATAGCGGTAAAATGTATTTATGTTTAACTGGAGTATTGAGAATGAATTGGGAGATAGCTGCCACATGTTGGGTCTAAATGACAAAGGACTTAAATTCAAGGCTTCAGGACAGAGACTTTATCCAGTAGCTAACTGGGAGCCTCTGAGAGTTTATGAGGAAGAGAACAGCATGATCAGAGCTAAGATTCAAGGAATTTAAATAATCAATCAGTTGTAGAGCATGGGATGGTTTGTAGTGAAAAAAGAAAAGGTGAACAAGCAACTTGGAAAGCTATAGCAAAAATACAAAAAAAAAAAAAAAGAAGAGGTAGTTCAGGGAATCTGAGTGACAGTAGCAATTAACATAAGGAGACAGAGACAAAGAAACATGAAAACAGCAGTAATGGAACTTGACATTAAAAAAATTTCCAAAACTGTCCAATTGGCGGAACTTAACTTTAAAGTATATTACTTCTTTTCCCCCTTTTTAAAATTACACAAATCCTTAAAATATGGGATGGGTTTCAACCTGTTGTAGTTAAGTCCTCTTGCAGGTCATTACTTGGGTGTAATTTTCCCTCCTTGATTTGTTTTTGAGGAGGAACAAAAGAGAAAGGGCATCTGAGTCCCCAGTTCCATATTTCAGAAAGGTTTCTCCCTGCAAAGTTAAACATCTGCTTCCCATCAGTCCCAGATGTGGCACCGTTTTGCAGCGTGGCCAAGGGATGAAATGCAGCACACTCAGTCTAGCATCTCATTCATCAGGAGCTTCCCGACAATCTTCCAAGCATAGACAAAGTACCTCAAATGACACCTCCCCATTCTTCCTCCTCTTCATGTGGGCCTGACAGTGTCTGGGCTCTGAGACTTCGAGTATTATTCCTGCCTACCTTTCAATGGATTTCGTGAGATCTTATTGAATTCCAGGCCGTGTCTTCAAAATAGGGGAGTAAGTGTTAAGGGTGAGAAAGGAGACTAATTCCATTTGCAGGGCAATCTAAGAGCATCTCTAGCTAGCCTCTTTCATTCCAAGAGTGATTAGTATAAACTTTCTGCACAAAATAAAATGAGGATAACAAGGGAGAGAAGAAAATTAAACTTTAGCAGGAAACAGAGTATCCTATTCAGTAAATTTCACTTACTTTCTCAGCAGCAATGAGCAGTCACAAAGCTACAAGATCACTAATCCATAATCAATACCATCCACATAAAAGTCTTTCAGATTGGAGGAAAGCATTGGGTCCTTAACCCCAAACCTCTGGAAGTAGACACTACTTCTATTTATCACAGGCCTAAAGGATCACTCCCATTGTTCCTATTCATAGGAAACTTGGAGGAAAACAACTTTCCCTGAAATTTGTTGGCTGAACAAGTGACTAATCAAGTAGATCTGCAGATATGTATTAAGTGTCTTCTATGAGCTATTTTAGGTGGTGAGAAAAGCATAAAAATCCTGACCATGTTGGCACTTTGATTCCAGCGGGGGACATTTACAATAAATTTTTAAAAACATACAATATATTATATGATATGAATAACATACAATATTTAATAATACATTATATTAATATATTGTGATATATTAATATTAATATAATATAGTTATAATTAATTGTATTATAAATTATACAATATAATATAATTACTATAATTATATTATATAACATTATATTCTATTGTATATTATATAATATATTATATATAAATATGATATTAAAATTATATTATTATATTAATATGACACACAATAATATATTTGGTCATACATATTACACAATATATTGTATGTTTTATTGTCAATAATGTTATCTACAATAATATATGTTATATATAATATATAATATATAGTATGCTTATATCCAACATACAATATATACTATATACAATATATTACACATATTATATAGAATATGTATACATATAATAGGTATATATGTATACATAGAATATGTATATGAATGCATATTCTATATAGTATGTATTGTTATATATCATGGAATAATATGTATTATACAACACATATTATATAGAATATGTATATATACAATATATAATATACATACCTATATATACAATATTGTATATATACAACATGTATTATTGTATATATACAATACATATTATATATATAATATGTTAGAGTGATAAGTGATATGTGGAAAAATAAAGTTAGCTATAGGATTAGGAAGCGTTGGGGAATGGACTGCATTTTCCTATGGGGTATTCAGAGTCATCCTCACTGAAAAGATAAAGGGGTGGAAGGTTGGGCAAAGCAAGTATTCCAGAGAAATGTATTCCAGGTAGAGGGAGGAGCAAGGGCAAAACCCATGAGCATGTGTGGGGGTTGATAAAGCAGCTGGAGTGGAGTGAGGGAATCCTGGAGGGTGCAAGATAAGACACCACCCAGGGACCAGAGGATGAAGACATTACCAGGCATTAAGCTTTTGCAATCAAGGAGATGGAGAGTCTCCAAGGGTTTGAGTACATCGGTGGCATCATATCACTGAAGTTTTGGCACGATTGTGCTGACTGCTGTGTTGAGAATAGACTATAATATCGGGCTTTAGGATGGATTAATATTGGCAAAGATCTCCTAAAACTGATGACAGGTATATAAGGCAAGTGGACCTAAAACAATGCAAAAAGAGAATGATTTGGAGCAAAAATAAAACTCATTTTGAATCAAAGTATAACATGTGAGCATTCTATACAAAAAGTTCCCCAGAGTTTAATTGTGCAGATATGAAAATGAGATACATCTTTGCACTTCAGAGTTTGTTCTTGCTACTCTGTTTCCTAAGACCAGTGAGCCACATTCTTCTCTTCTCTCCTTTAACTAGTAAATGATTTGTGCTCCTTTACTTTTTGCTTAGCTTTGGAAAGGAGTTTCCACTTTTTGAAAGTCGATAGTGTTTTGTTTTGTTTTGTTTTGTTTTCCCCCACAATTAATGCTGAGTAACGGATTTCAGACCATCTGGGCAACCTCGATTATGCTATCATTGCATATCCCACAGGCTTGTTATGATTAGGGAAGGCGAAGGGAAACACAGTATATGCCGAGTATGTGGGCTATACTTAAAGAAAAAAATGTTATATCATCACATACAACATCTGGTGGAATTCAAGATTAAGTTACAAATGGTTTTGAAGGCCAATTATTAGACAAGTGATACCCATTGAAACTAGGCTGTGGTTTTACTACCTGGCAGATTTTTACTGATTGCTCTAAATCAGTACTTACTTATCTTACTTACCGTGGGATCTTTAACATGCATTGCATTTAGATTGAGCTAAAAGGGCAGACGGTGGTTTTTTGTTTAGAGTGAAATGGAAGTACCAAGTATATAAGTGATAAAAGGGTAGTAATTACTTCCTATATCGACACTGATTTCCCATCAGGGAAATGTAATGTGTCATATTTGATACCCAAGTACCTAGGTATTTACGTTAATAATAACAATAGTAATAGTTATTATTTATTGTACCCAAAATTTTACAAGCCTTGCATTTCTTCCTCAGGCTCTATCTCCATTTATCAAATGAGTAAATTCAGGCTTCGAAAAGGTTTAGGCAACTTACCAGCATTCAAACAAACTGAGTCATCGAACCACAATTCAAACCAAGGCCTCCTGATCCATAGCTGCCACCTGTAAAGCTTACATTATGCTGAATTCATTTACATTGCTCTGCAATGTACATTACTGCACATGTGCCATAGTAAACCTTATAGAACGGGAAATGTTTAATCTTGTCAATTTACTCCTCTCTATCCTGACATTATATTTCTTGCATTTCCCAGTTACGGTTTGGCACAAACAACTTTCCCAGTTCCTCATGCATGGATAAAAACATAAATTATGCTGTGTTCTCTGGCGCCTCCTGGTTCAAAGTTATCTTGCTGCCACCAAACTGGACTTCATCCATACAAATCCACTTTTACATAAAGAATTTTAAAGAAGAATGACAACTCATCTCTGTCTAGTTATTTACATTTTTTATGAGTATTAAATATATTCCCAAAACTTCTATGTTCTAGAAAACATAGAAGTATAAATATTTACTTTGCATTCCTTTTTATTAGTGACTATTATCTTTAAAAAGCCCTGAATCAATGACAGGACAAGAGACATAGCAATGCCCTTTCTAACCTTCTGGGTTTTGTATATCTAAACTCAGTGGCATAATTTATTGAATATTAGTGACTTCAAACATATATTGGATTCTATTATTCTATATTTCAGCTGGTAATCAAAAAGCAAAAGGCTGAAATGTTCTTTCTTTTGTAGCTGGACCTTTTATGAGTTGATACAACTTTTTTTTTTAATGCAGTAGTCTCAGTCCTCAAAAATGATAGCAAATCAACCCTGATTCAGAAGCCATTTAAGGGGTCTTAATATTTCAAGAAATTCCAAAATAAATGTATGTTTTTAAAAAAGTAGAAAAAGCATTTGCAAGAAACATGACAACTCCTAAAGAGAAAGTGAAAATATTTTGTAAATTTAACTAAAGTATAGGGTTTGACTTCTGACTTTACATTTACCGCTTACATGAAGGGAACGCCAATCTTATTCTGTTGCATGGCTATTGTAAAGCCGATACAAGCAGGTGGAACTGAAAAGACTTTGGGAACTGTAAAGCTATTTTGTGTGTTAGTGACCATATAACTTAGGTTTCAACCTCCATTGTCTCTTGAAAATACATATTTTAAATGAAGTTTTTTTTAATGAGGCACAGCTCAACACAAAATCTTCAGTCAAATAGAGCTTGGCTAAGAACTAAACCACATTTATTTCTATTGACTTTCACTTTCTTATCAAAAGAGTTCTTATTTCTTATCACTACCATATCATTATCATAATAAATGCTTTTAAAATAATTATGTATGTTCAGTTTTATTCAATTATGTTATTGTTCATTAGAAGCATACAAAATGCATTTAAAAGGAAAACAAGCAGAAACACCAATAAACAACACATAAGACATTTAACCCAATGAAGAGTACAAATTAAACACAAATTTAAATAACTCATTTACATAATTTACATATCCTCTCAATGTTCTATATTGTCAGAATAGACCTGTCTTAGAATCTTTCATGGATGCAATTTAATGATTTAAAAAACTCTTAAAATTGCCCCAAAGAAAAATAAAAATGTCTTCTCAAGTTAGTATTTGTGGTCCCTATAGTGATATTAGTTCTTAATTTATTTGCTTATAATTTTATTTTGTTTTGGCTTGTTTTTAGAGATGGGATCTTGCTCTGTCACCCAAGCTAGAGTGCAGTAATACAATCACAGTTCCCTGCAGCCTTGATTTCTGGGGCCCAGGTGATCCTCCCACCTCAGCCTCCCAAGTAGTTGGAACCATGTTGGTAGCTGGAACCATGTGCCACTACCCCCAACTAATTTTGTTTATTTTGAAGAGATGGGGGTCTCATTATGTTGCCGAAGCTTGTTTCAAACTGGGCTCAGGTGATCCTCCCATCTCAGCCTCCCAAAATGCTGGGATTATCGGTGTCAACCACCATGCCCAGACAATTTACTTATAATCTTGTTTTTATGTATTTGTTAAATGCTGTGCTGAGTTCTGAGAATATCGAATTGAAGAAAGAAGGATCTCTGCAGAAAAAGTTCTGTTTTCCAGGGATGACAAATGGTAATACAACACAACTATATGCAATGAAATAAGCATAATAAACTGAGTAAAAGAAACCTACTACGAAAGATGCTTTGTACCTTTGTGTTTGTATTGTGTCCTCGTCTTTAGTAATACTGTATGGTTTCCATCATTTTGTCTTTTGAAAAGACTGTGATAGTTGGACATAAGTTAGAAACATTTACAATTAACTCTCTGCAGCATTTGAGCTATGTGTAATCATCTTTACATTTAAATATGGTTATCATTCCCTTATGAAGTTATTGATATCACTGCAAGTTATTTCTATGGATAACATCTCCTTCCATCTCTTTGAAAAGTCATTTGTCCAAAATGTAAGGAAGAAAAAGCACATAAGAGATTAATGATTACTAGAAAGTGTCAGTGAGTCATAGTTCATGCGTGTACAGCTCAAGTGGGGGCAGGTGTCTTGGATAATGGCCACCTCACCTTGAACCCCAATTCCATCCAATCACCAGGGAGGCAATATTTCACACCTTGATGGCAGCGTCCATGGAAAATGTGACACAATTTGATTACTGCCCCTTGAACAGTATTACAGTAAAAGAATGCAGTTTATGACACTTAAATGAGAAATAATTTAATGATTCCTACGTTCCCAAATGTCTTTTACCCTTTATTGTTATGTAGACCTCCTAGATAAGCTGTGCAGTTATGACTATTTTTCAAATGCAGAGTAAAAGCAAGAAAAAGTAAAACCAAGTTGGATTTAGGTCTTCACTAAAATGCCCGATTCACCCTCAGTTTCAGTCATTTTCATAGTACTCTTGAGTAGCAACCATTCCTTTTGCCCACAGGCGACTTAAACTCTGAGGTGCAGTCAGGAAGGTACATTATTAACTGGGGTGGGTGACTTCGCCTGTTCTGGGGAAACTAGATACAAACTCCTGGGTACTATTAGGGCCTCTGTGGGTTACCATAGTGAATTCCAACTAACAACGTATATTAGTCTGTTTTCACACTGCTGATAAAGACATACCCAAGACTGGGTAATTTATAAAGAAAAATAGGTTTAATGGACTCACAGTTCCATGTGGCTGGGGAGTCTGCACAATCATGGCAGCAAGCAAAGAGAGAGAACCAAGTGAAAGGGGTTTCTCCTTATAAAACTATCAGCTCTCTTGAGACTTATTCACTACCACAAGAACAGTATGGGGGAACCGCCCCCATGATTCAATTATCTCCCACCTAGTCCCTCCCACAACACGTGGGAATTATGGGAGCTATAATTCAAGATGAGATTTGGGTAGGGACACAACCAAATCATATCACAATGTGTGGCAAAAGTCATTCACCTGGTAGCTTGTCTTACAGCACAAGATCAGTACTGCAGAAATCCCAAGAAGAAAGAGCCCCACCGATTGCAAAGACTAACACACTTAAATGTACTCCCACTTTTCAAATACACATGCTAATGGAAGTGCATGGTTTAGCTTGAGCTCCCTAGTTTTCCTGGATAGCAGCAGAAACCTGCTTTGCTGCACAGTGGCTACGTAGAAGAGCTGCTTCTCTTCCTAGTCTCAGTCTTGGGTACATGTTAGTCCAAAATCCCAGCTGTGTTCTACGTAAAGAGCATCATCATATTTCTTCACCTATGTGAAACCAGCCCCATAAGCTATTTGGGGCCAAAGGGTTTGTGATTATTACACAGGATGTTATATTTTAGTCACCAAGTGATGCACCTTTTATGAACAAAATAACTAGAAAATTTTTCTTTTATTTTCTAAGAAACACACATACACCTCTTAGGATATGCCTGAGATTCCATTTCAAGAGAAGAAAAGTATGATACCCACAGTGTGCATTTAAACAGAAAGAGGAAATTCAGTTATTTTCTTCTTGAACTAATATGCTCAATGTAGTGACTACAACTTAAGTGGAAGAGGATAGACATTATTAGTATCCTGTACCCACAAATGACACAACTGAGGCACCTAGAGTTGATTGAAACAATCCAGACAAATAAATATTTTCAGGATTGAGATTTGAATGCAAGTCCAATGTTCACACTTCCTGGCTTTCAGGGGCTGCCCAACCATTTGGTACTTTAAATCCTGTTAGAACTTGAATGCACACACACATTAAGGGCTTAACAAGTAAGTTTTGTTCTTCAGTTCAATTAGAATGTTGTCAACCTTATAAAATAAAACTTCACATTAAACTGGTTAAATGATAAGCCGATGAGCCTTGTTATTTTATGTGTCAATAAGTCTCAGGTGGGGCAGATCCAGGACTGAATAATTCAGTGGATCAACGATGTCATCAAGGACTGATCACTTCCCTCTTGCTGCTCTGTCATCCTCACCCTACGGGCCATGTCCTTGGCTTGTCCCCTTTAGCACTGCCACACAGCTGCTAAGGGCCCAGGCATCACAAGCAGACACAGCAATGACCAGCAGGGGCAGGCGAGGCTTCTTTTGTGATGCCTTCTCTTACTTAGCCACACAACCTTCCTAGAAACTCCTTAGCACACTTCCTCACACTTCACATGGACCACAATTGTACACATCATTTCTTAATCAGAGCAGATGAGAAAAATGGAATTGATTTTGCTTGTAAGGAGTAAAAGAGAAGTAGGAGATGGTTGTTGTATTTAATCAACAATATCTGCTATATTCTTTCAATCTCTAATGTAGTTGGCCTATGCACAGTGATATTAATCATTATGAAAGGATTAAAAAAGAGACGTTACTGAGGTTAATTAGAATGAGAGTTCAGCCTTAAATTTAAAATGTAAATGGGGATGGAGACAGAAAGATATTAAGGATACAGTTAATCCATTAATATACAAATACACACATACCCACATAAGTAAATTTGTCAATTAAATATACAATTAAAAACAATATTTTAAACATACAGGTAAAACATGCTGAATATCAAACTAGTCTAACTATTGGAATGACATGAATTAAAAAATTACATTTTCTAACAGATACAAATGGTAGGAAAGTTATTTTTTGGTTTCGTTTATTCATTTGTTTTTGTTTGTTTATATTTGGGCTATCTGCTATGAGATTTCTTGAGACCTTTGCTAACTAGAACTTTCAAAGACCAAGGAATACAAAAAGCAGTATTTAATGTCCAGGTGAATGATTATATTTTCTCGTTACATTTACCAAACTTCATTGTATCAATTTAGGATGCAAGAAGACTTCAGACGCTGCTCTCAAAATCACCAGCAGTGAAGTAGATAGCAGACACAGAAAGAACAAGTAATGGCCTGGCTTCTAAAAACAGAAAGAGAAGATTTATAGCCTCCATAAAGCCAGCATGACTCAGGGCCAAGTTCATTCTGCATCCATCCCCCACTTTCTCTTGTCACAGGAGAATGAGCCGAGGACCACTTTTGCCAGCAATCTCATCTGCAGCATTCCAGTAGCCCCTGCCAGACCTGGCAAGGGTATTGAGAGGCACCCTCCTTTTTTTCAAGAAGCAGGGCTCTGGACAGAATCAGGCCAACTCCACAGGTCACACATGAGCTGCTCTTGTCTGCCAATGAGCTGCTTGATTGGTGCTTAGAAGGTGCTGGCTCTTCCTGCCCCAGTGATGGTTCTCTACAAGCCATCTCTCACCTCACCTGAAACGTGGGTGCTTTCTCAAATTCCTCACAAGAAAACATTGATACTTAGTGTTCTATATCTATACTCGGTCTTAGAAATGAATATCCCAGTTTGGTTCGCCTGCAGAACAGCTTTTACCAATCATTACCAATCTCAGCACATCACCACCTCTTCCTATAACTCCAGGAGGTTCACATAAACATAAGAAAATCAAGTTTTATGCTACTAATCCAGACTAAATCATTTCTCCCTCTGGGAAAGTAAGCAAGCAGAATTGGTCTAAATAAACTATAAGAAATCTTCAGTTATGAAGAAAAACATACATACACATGCACCACATTGATATAGAGATAGAAAAGTCCCTGCTCCTACTACTAATATAGCCTATCTTTTCACAGGTCATTGAAATTTTACTTTAAAATATGTGTGCTGGGGGCGGTCAATGGATAGTTACAGTTATCAAAGTACAAAATTCTTTTTAGGGAAAATAAAACCTCTGTAGTTACATTTTTTCAGGGTCTGGTTCTCAGACCCCTGGTTAGACTGAGATGAGGACTGAGATCCTGTGAGCAAATCCTTCATGTTCCTAAAGCCACTGAAGGCTTTTCCCAGGAGGACCCCACAGAAAGGTCCAGCCCTTGGCCAGGTGCAGTTATAAGTCCAGCCCTTATAACAAGCTGCCTGGGATCCAGGGCATTGAAATACCAGAAGACTGACAGCTGGAAGCCTGCTGGCAGTGGAGCAAGAAGGTTAACACCTTCACCTGCCTCTAGGCTTGGTGGTATTGGTGGGGACAGTCTCCTTGCATAAGGATCCACAGGGGTTACTCCAGAGATCACAACCATCACCTATCTGACCACAGATTTTAGATCTAAAACCAAGCCCCAGAAAGAACTGGGACTTGGGAAATGGGGCAGTTACCTGGGAGGGAGTCTGTCCCTTTGGAGTCCTCATTTCTATAGAGAGATACATAGGGCAATTTAGATAGAGTTGTTTCAGAAACCTGGGAGACAGATTTAATGATCTCTGGAGCTTCCCTTCAGCCTTTTTTTTTTTTTTTTTTTTTTGAGACGGAGTCTCACTCTGTCACCCAGGCTAGAGTGTAATGGTGCAATCTCAGCTCACTGCAACCTCCACCTCCACCTCCGAGTTCAAGAGATTCTCCTGCCTCAGCCTCCCGGGTAGCTGGGAATACAGGCATGCATCACCACCCGTGGCTAATTTTTGTCTTTTTGGTAGAGGCGGGGTTTCACTATGTTGGCCAGGGTAGTCTCGAACTCCTGGCCTCAAATGATCTGCCTGCCTTGGCCTCTCAAAGTGCTGGGATTACAGGTGTGAGCCACCGCACCCAGCTAATATTCTAATAATTCTAATGAGTAGCTCTCATAGTAGAAACTAGGTATATACCCAAAAGATAGAAAATCAGTCTAATGAAGGGATATGTGCATTCCCACGTTTATTGCAGCACTATTCACAATAACCAAGATTTGGAAGCAACCCGAGTGTCCATCAACAGACGAATGGATAAAGAAAATGTGGTACATATACAGAATGGAGTACAATTCAGCCATTAAAAAAATGAGATTCTGCCATTTGAAACTATAACTTATTTTATTTTTATTTATTTATTTATTTGAGATAGAGTTTTGCTCTTGTCACCCAGGCTGGAGTGCAGTGGCACAATCTTGGCTCACTGCAACATCTGCCTCCTGGGTTCAAGCGATTCTCCTGCCTCAGCCTCCCACCACCCATGCCTGGCTAATTTTTGTATTTTTAGTAGAGATGAGTTTTCACCATGTTGGTCAGGCTGGTCTCAAACTCCCAACCTCAGGTGATCCACTGGCATCAGCCTCCCAAAGTGCTGGGATTATAGGTGTGAGCCACCATGCCCGGCTTTATTTACTTTTTAAAGAGAATCATATCATTTGGTTGAAAGCATATTCTTCTTTAGTTTCTAAATAACAGTTATTTAGCTTGGCATGGTTTCTAACAACATCCCAGTCATAATATATTTAAAAAAAAAGACAGCTTTTACCTCCATCCTTCAATAAAGCAGTAAATTCATAATACAACGACTCCAAATTACTAGACAAAAATTTGCTGAAATTGAAAGGAAATTTTATCAAGCACAAGATGAATGAAATTGAATTGGAAGAAAAACTGGCTGTTTACACATGAAAAAGAAGAGTCCTGCCTGAATACAAGAGGGACTATACATATATCATATTCATGCCATTTTAACTACTCCCTAAGAAAAGCAAAATGGCTACCAATTTCAAAATTAGACAACCATTATTTTACTTTAAGATAGTATTTCTTTGAAATAACATGAAATCTGTGTGTCTCTCCTCCACTTCCCCCTCTTCCCAACTGTTACACTACTCCATCTGTCTGGGACTCTATTTCCAAGGGAAAGTGTTCAGAATAGGGATGGAGCGTGCATACAGCAGTGGTTGACTTACTCATCATACCCTACAAAACGCATCCATAATTAAAACACAGTCAGTATCTTTAGAAAAAGTCTATTTCAAAGTCATTAGGTGAAGATATATGTTCTATAGACTCAGGCAACAGGAGCATCTCTTACCTCAGTGTAGCATAGCTGTGTGAGATGAAAGTTTACCATGCACAGGGTCTTCAACTGACAGCTTGCTCTTTACTATCTCGGGAGTGGAAACAAGAGCATTCTATACACCCTGTCAGTCTGCAAACACTAAGTGATGTATTTCTCTCTTTATTTAAGGACAAGTAAGAATAAAAAGAAAAAACAACTAAATGGAGCCCAAAGGTAGAAGGACTTCAGAATAAAATAAAAGAAAAACCTCATAAAAACCCAGGACATGACAGGTACAGTGGCTTACACCTGTAATCCCAGGACTTTGAGAGGCCAAGGCAGGCTGATTGCTTGAGCCCAAGAGTTTGAGACCAGCCCAGGCAACATAGCAAGACCCCATCTCTACAAAATATATAAAAATTAGCTGGGCATGGTGGTGCACACCTTTAGTCCCAGCTACTTGGGAGGCTGAGGTGGGAGGATTACCTGAAACCAGTAGGTGGAGGTTGCAGTGAGCCGAGATCATGCCACTGCACTCCAGCCTGGGTAACAGAGTGAGACCTTGTCTCAAAAAACAAAACAAAACAAAAAAAAACGCTCAAGTCAGACAAAAATATGCTTCTGAAAAAGATGTAATCCAGGAATCAAAAGATAATGCTCAATAGGATACAAGAATTGTCTTCTATAAGGCAAAAGTTGAAATCCATAAGTAAGCAGACAGACTACTGTTAACAAATAAAGTGAAATCAATAGACAAAAAGAATTAGCAACAAACGCAACAAGCCTAAATCCAAACAATACAATACACACACACACACACAGACACACACATAAATCCAGAAGAGACAGGAAAGGATTGCATGGCAACTAAAAGTACGACAGCAAAATGAAAATCTGCATTGTAGACTTTTAAAAAGCAGAAATGACATGCAAACATTTTGAATCAGTAATTTCAAACCAAACTTGATAAGCTTGTCTAAAATAAGGAGGAAAAGGACAGTGGTGAGAGGACAGATGATAGATATCGAAGCTAAGAAATACAGCTATTTCCAAGGACGAAAAAAACTGAGTAGGGGAATCACTAGCAAGAGAAGCACTAACCAAATCCATAATTAAATAGTATTTTCTGAAACTCAAACCTAAACACCTTAAAATGGAAATTAAACAGGTTCCACCTGTTTTGAACAATATTAATGGAAATGAATCCACAGATGCACAAATTATGACAAAATCTTGAATTATAAAGAAGAATGCCATTCCACAAACGATTCTGCTGATAGCAATCAGAATTTCAGATCGAGTGCTTGGAAATAAATAAAATCTTCAAGGAGATGAATGTTGCCAATATCACTCTTATTAGGAGCTGCAAAGTGTCACAATGGATCCATATTTCCACTTTTTCTTCTTAGATCATACAAATTAGCACATTTCAACACAACAGCCAATTTTCTATTTCCTTTCACCTCCATAGACTTGACTTTGGGTCTATGACAAACCTCTCTCCAACAATTTTGAGCTGATAAACAACCTCCAGATATAGCTCTTCACTTTGGCTTTATTTTATTTGGATTTGGTTTTCAAACATCAAAACATCATGGGTTCAAAGTTTCTCTTGTGTGTCAAAGGTCACAAGATCCAGGATGCAATAGTGGGATTTTCCTCGGACTGTTACTAATTAGCTGGAGACCACATGTTTCAGGGAAATAAAAACCAGAAAGAGCAGGAATTTGTATTTAGCTTCAGGCAGTGAAGCATTGGATACGTTAGGTAGTATCCTCTATAAGAGGTATACCATGAAATACAGCTCAGTATGGATAATGACTCTGTAAAGTTTTATTCTATTTGAAACAAATAGATTCTGAGTTTTAGTAGGAGAAAGGAGGGAGGCAATTATTTTTTAAAATTATAAATAGAATTCATCATCAAAGCATAAGAAGAAATTTACACATACAATGTGATGAAAATTAGGTAAAAGGAATTATTAAATGGTAAAAACGATTAAACTTTGCTGAAGTTTGAATGATATCAAGAATGATGAAACATTGTTGGATCCAGTGATTAGGAAGCCACTAACAGCCATCTAAATGTGTAGTTTTTACACAAAGGAGGTGGTAGTGGTTGGGGATGAAGCTATTTTGCAAGAAGTACCAGATAGAAACTTCTCCATTATGATATTTAATACTAAAAAACAGGTGAGAACTAAGCTGTAGCCTAAAGGGATATCAGAGAAAAAAAAATCAGAACCAAGCAAGTATTTAGTGTGTGTATAGCTAAGAAGTCTATGGCAAGGGAAGGTTTAAATAAGATTGTGGCTTTTTTTTTTTTTTTTGGAAAGTCTTGCTCTGTTGCCCAGGCTGGAGTGCAGTGGCATGATCTCGGCTCACTGCAACCTCCACCTCTCAGGTTCAAGCAATTCTCCTGTAGGCCTCAGCCTCCTGAGTAGCTGGGATTACAGGTGCCTGCCACCATGCCCAGCTAATTTTTTGTGTTTTCAATAAAAACAGGGTTTCACCATGTTAGCCAGGCTGGTCTCCAACTCCTGACCTCAGGTGATCAAACCGTCTCAGTCTCCCAAAGTGCCTGGATTACAGGCGTGAGCCACCATGCCTAGCCCAAGATTGTGACTATTAATGGAACAAGGCACCATATGGTTAATGAAGATACGCAAATTAAAAGAACAAATGAAGGAATGTGGTTTTAGCAAGGAAAGAAGACTGTTTCTTAAAAGATAGGGACAAAGGAAGATGAGACAGATGAAAATACAATGTTGAGAATAAAAGGGTTGAGGAAGTTCTCACCAAGTTAGTCACAGACCTTTTACCCTTTCATTAACATTGAATATTAATCCATCCATGTGTGGAAATTGAGGAGACATGGATTAGATGGCAATCTTAAAAATGTGGAAAAGGTTTAAATGGTCACAGAATAAAGTCAACTAGAGATGAATATGAAATCAACAAGAGATGAATTGTGACCTTCCTGGAATTGCATAGAATTAATCTTCCTTGGGTCAAATTAACATGATTTTATGGCAGTATCCAGACTTGGACAATCATAAAAGGAAGAGGAGATAAAGTACAATGGACGTTGCCTGGGGATACAAAATATGGGATTGATAAGGCGAGGACAGAGAAATTTCTGAGGAAAGTTTTGTTGGCTTTTTTATGAGAGTTAGCATTTTTGTGACATGACTAGCCACATGGTCCTGACTGATAAAGCAGGTAAGTGGAGCTAGAATAAAAGAGACATGTAGGGAAGACCTCAGGAGACTGGAAAGCACAATGGGAGCAGCAGAGACAGTCACTATCCAACAAATATCCACTGGATTCTGTGCATTTCTCCATGACAGTTTTTTGGAGGCCAGGTGATTTGTTCACTTCAAAAAAACTGGGAACAGAAACGAAGTGCATCTCTTGCAGTGTGAGGCAGAAAAAGGTTGCTGTGTCTTCTCCATCCCAATCTCCCACTCTTGAAGTGTTTTTGGAAGCCATGTATGGATTGAAACAATAATGTTACAAGGTAGAAGGAGACTGGATCCCAGATGGAGACCCTGCCAACCCACACTGGATTTGTGTGAATGAGAAGTGAGCTTCTGTTGTTAAACCACTGAGACTTAATTACTCTGAAAATGAATAGAATGCCTAGCATGCATAATGGAGTGTAAAATACAAATGGAAAGGAGGTCATTCTCTGAGAGGGAATTTTCACATTCTGAGACCTTCTAAGTGGGCCAGTCTCTGATAATGATGAGATCTAAGATGTGGCCACACTTGGGACTGGATCATGAACAGAGACAACAGAGATCAAAGGATCCAAGAAAATAAAGGAACACTGACCCCAGAATGCTATAAAGGTGTGAAGGATGAGTTTAATTGTTATTATTAAGAGAAAGACTAACTGCTTTGAAGGTACAAAGCAAGGTAAGATACTGTCCTCAAGGTTGGAAGAATGCAGTATCAATTCATGGCATGATCTTCAAAGAAAAAAAAAATAGGGCAATTCTCTGGAAGTTACCATGGAGCCCAAATATGTCAATTCCTAGTCTTGTCCAGTGCCTTTAAGGTGGGAATGGAAGGGACTATATCAGAGAGAAGAAAAAGAAGTGGCAGTAGCATTAATGTTGGAAGCCTTTCAGCATTCTGATACCAAAGACCTCTGCCCATCAGGATTTAGTTGTGTACTGGTATCTCATGAAAAGTGAGTTTCTTCCAACGCGAGGAAAGACCTGCACAGCTTTGAAAATACCCTAGACTAACTGGCATTCCCTCAAGTGGCCCATCTTTGTTTTTTAGACATAATGCCTTGAGATCTAATATGGTTTGGCTATGTCCATACCCAAATCTCACCTTGAACTGTAATAATACCCACGTGTCAAGGGTGGACCCAGGTGGAAATAATTGATTCATGGGGGCAGTTTCCCCCATACTGTTCTTGTGATAGTGAGTAAGTCTCACAAGGTCTGATGGTTTTATAAATGAGAGTTCTCCTGCACAAGCTCTCTTGCCTGCCACCATGTAAGAAGTGACTTTGCCCCTCTTTCACCTTCCACCATGATTGTGAGGCCTCCCCAGCCATGTGGAACTGTGAGTCCATTAAACGTCTTTTTCTTTATAAATCATGCCATTTTGGGTAGGTCTTTATTAGCAGCATGAGAACCAATTAAGGTAAGACCCTAAGTTGTATTCTAGTCCCTATGAAAAAGCCTCTTCCCTTGTTTTATTGTAGTCCTAATTGCCTGGGCTGCCCGGCAATGTTTTGTGTATGTTTGAATCTTTTGTGATGAGAACAAGGTAGCAACACTAAAAAATAAATAAATAAATAAATTTAAAAAGATATACATTCTCAAGTAGCATTCATTGGGATGTGTTCCTACATTTCCTCCTCAATCAGAAACCTATTCCTACATTGGGAAGGTTTCATTGTTGCTAATGTAGTTTGATCAGTGAATTAGCAGAGAAGAAAACAGGTAAGGCAGAGTATCTAAAGCAGGGTTTCTTCTTGACCTGAGGTCTGTGAACCATTTCAAATTGACTCAGGACCCTGTACATTGGGGTAATTATTATGTTTTCCTGAGGAGAATTCCCATAGCTCTCACCTGAAATTTAAGAGAATCTCTGGCCTATAAGTAGTTGAAAACAATCTGTCTGAAAGAAGCACTTTCATCCACAGGTTACGATCATTAAATCATGGTTTAAAAAGATATCTAAGATACAGTTGATAATCAATTTTTCTTTTTCCCAAAGTAAACATAATTAATTCATTGATTATAGAGTAAGAAGTCACATGGGAGCCTCTGGTTTGGGATTTCTCCCTGCATGGGTAACCCACTGCCATTCTTTACTCTTTCTCCATACACGCTGTATACGTGGGCACTGATATGATTTGGCTGTGTCCCCACCCAAATCTCATGTTGAATTGTAGACCCCATAATTCCCATGTGTTGTGGGAAGAACCCAGTGGGCGGTAATTGAATCATGGGGGTGGGTCTTTCCCATGTTGTTCTCATGATAGTGAATAAGTCTCATGAGATCTGATGGTTTTATAAAGGGAAGCTCCCCTGTACATCCTCTCCCTTGCCTGCTGCCATGTAAGGTGTGACTTTGCTCCTCATGTGCCTTCAGCCATGATTGTGAGGCCTCACCAGTCATGTGGAACTGTGAGTCAATTAAGCTTCTTTCCTTTATAAATTATCCAGTCTTGAGTATGTCTTCATTAGCAGCATGAGAACAGATGAATGCAGGCACTGTTTTATTGTTCTAAAATATACTCTCTCATCTCTGGTGATACTCCCCTGACTGGGGCAACTTCACTGGCACACACAATAAGTCTTATAAACCCTGACAAAGTAAAAATATTACAAAATGAGAAGGCAGTGGGAAGAGCGGGAGGAGGATTAAGATTGTTAATCTCCTATGACATAGCACCAAGTCAACTGATGGAGTTCAAAAATAAAAAGATAAACAGATTTTTAACTCTGGAATATTTTCATAATTACCTTTTTCTTAATATTAGAGCAGTGTTCACATCCTTGGCTGCCCATTCGAATTACCTGAGAGATTTCAGGAATACTAATACCTGAGTCCCATCCAGTGAGATTCTGATTTAATTGCTCTTGGGTGCAGACTGGGTTTTAAAGTGTTCTCCGCCGATTCCAGTGTGCAGTCAAGGTTGAAAACTACTGCCTAAGAGGAATATGCTAAGAACTGATGTCACTGGTGTTTACGAAACAGGTATCCATAGCCTAGAGGTTAATTAAGCTTTATTTTAGTTTTTCTTCTGTTACACTCATGGAAAAATGAAGGTATTATATAAAGATATCTCCTGCATAGTAAATTTCCCTCTCTCTTTATAGATGCATCCACCCAACCATCTCTTTGTATGTGTGCAGGGTGAGTTGTCAGGATGCACGTGTAATAGTCAATGCTGAATTTGGGGAAATCAGGTTTTGTCTGCCTTGACTTCTCCTTCTCTGTTTGGAATTTGTATAATGAACATCAGTCACAATTTTTTGAAAACAATAAAATAATTGCTTGTAGAAACAAATTTTTAAAATAAAGATTATGAAAATAAGGCAAATTAAAAATGTCAAAGTAAAATTGAAGATTCCATGCATATTTCTAGCTCATAGGACAGCTGATTTAGTTCCTAAAAATAGAAATGAAAATTTTTGCCTGCCAGGACTTATTTTATGGCTACTGGCAGATCTTTTTGCTCTTTTTACTGGAGGTGAGGATGATGGGACAAACATTAAGTTTACTCTGTCAAAGAATGAATGTTGATTTTCACATGTGTGAACAGAAAACTCGGGAGTGCTAATTAAAATAACAATAATAAAAACAGCATTTTATAATTACTAGAAAAAAATCTAGTGAAACTGTGCCATCTGATTAGAGGAAGAAAAAAGACTGTCAATGCCTAGAAATGCTCAAATTTATCCTTGAAATAACTGAGTTGTTCCTACTCTCCCTTTCCCAAGTTTAAATTTGGTGCACAGTTCTAGAAAGAAAAATAAATCCATCTCACAGTCCTGACCTACATAAAGTCCAATATAGTTTCATACACACACACACACACACACACACACACACACAGAGACAGAGACACAGAGAGAGAGAGAGAGAGATTTACATATACAGGTATATTTACATATATATTGATTTATATTAAGCCCATGGAAATAATACATGGAGTTGTGAATAAAAATATCCAGAGATTTATCTATGAGAGAGTCTATACAGTAGAGAGATGACTTAATAGGCTAAAAAGTTGACTTTTTTAGCCTTAGCACTATTGATATTTGATCCAAATAGTTCTTTGTTGTGGGAACTATCCTTTACATTATAGGATGTTTAACAGCACCCCTGGCCCTGCCCCACTAGATGCCAGCAGCAACCTCCTCCTCCTCTCCACAATTGTGACAACCGAAAAGTCACATACGTTGCCAAATGTTCCCTGGGGAGCAAAACTGCCTTCTATTCAGAACCACTGGGCTAAATTATAATGTGAAAAAAAATCTCAAAGAATATAGGGTAGTTGCTAGGGTGTTAGAATGAGGAAAATTAAGATGGACTTTCCAGAATCAAAATACAGCTTATGAGAATTTTAATATATTTTATTTCACTTGTGTGATAAACAATCAACACCTTGTGGGTACATATAATTTTTTATATTTTAAAATATTTTCCACAGTGTTGGTCATGTTGTCTGTGATGAATAGTTATACATTGACAAAACAGACAAGAATATTGATTAAAGATCACATCCAGCAAATTCTCTGAGAAACCATGCTGTGTAGGCTTCTAGGGCATGAGACTTTTAAGATTTTTACCCTCTCCCTGTTTCCTCCCAGTGAAGATAATTTACTATGACTTAGATTCCAAGGCCTTAATTGAGCCTGAAATTCTAGTTATCTAGCCACTGTGGTGTAAATGGTCACACATCTGGATGTAATTGTCTCTCTGAGGGCTTTCTCTTGCACCAATGATGTCGAAGTGCTACCAGTATGTCTTAGCTGTCCACTTGACACTAGTGCAGCCTACATTCTCTTTCATCCCATCAGATGTTCTGTAGTGAAGGGATTCAAGTTTGAGCTTAACAACATGAAAAGTCTCTTAGACCATATTCTACAATCCACCTTAGCAGATACCATGAACTGGAATTCAGACAAAGCTCTCGGCCAATAGCAAAGTAGTACTCTTGCTAATGTTCTTCATATGTATCCATATATTTGAAAAGTGGTGGTGATTGGTGGCTGTGGTTTAAGACAGTTCTGGTATATCTATGAGCCCTGCTAAAATACCATATTAGTGTCATTTTAAGAACCCCCAAGGCTTTCCTTTAACCCTTATTTCACGGCAAGGGTGAGTGACCATTTCTTAGACAATAGTTTGAGATTACATTGACATATTCATTAAAAAAACAAATGTGTGTCATCTATGGAACATGATAACATGTTTTAAATCAAGATTGAAGCAAATTAGATTCTGTCAATGTGATGATCACATAAGCATCTTCCTTGGAAGAATGAAGTCAAGAAGTACAAGTGATCATCACATCAAGTGTCCTTCTGTGCAATGAGTTCTTAGGGCCAAGGAGCTCCCCCAGGAGGCAGGGATGACCCAGACTGATTTTGATGATACAGACAAAGCCAGCTTGAAAAAAATATAAACTTGCAGTTGAACTTTCTCAATTATAATTTAGGCAGTGATTGGACCGGGCACACCTCCACGCAGACATTCATCTCTACTCACATTGGTAAGAAGAGAAAGGGGCATGCATAGCTCTGGGTGGCCAAGGGTGCCCTCCGCCTGTCTGCTGGCAGCGAACAGATGTGAAGCAGAGGGCTGTCGAGGAGTCCTTGTCTTTCTCCCCAGCTCCCTCTTCATCTTTGTGCCTACTCTTTTGGGTTTCCTTTGCTTCCTTTTCCACAAAGTCTGAGGTCAAGTTCCAGTGTATCAGGACCTCTTCTCACCTTCATTCTCCCAGTTCCTTACTGCATGAAGACTGTGGCCACAGACACTGCCTTATGTCAAAGTGAAACTACACAGATGCACGAATGGTAATCCCTGGCAAGCCAATGTAGTTGAAACTTGAAATGATCTTTTTGCTGTACTTCAAAAGTAGTTTCTATCAGTTTATTGCATTTCTTTACCCTTAATTTATTGCTGTCACTTCCAGGGTATGATTTTGTTTTGCTTCTTTTGCTCTTACAGCCAGTTAGGTAGGAAGAAAATGCAAATTACAAAATCTTCTGTCATATTAAAGCAATAGGATTCACCTTTCAGAGTTACTTCAAAGCTTCCTCCTTGCATAAACAAATTAAACAGAATACAATGCTTTTAGTTGCCCACATTGGCTTTTTTTTTAAAAAAACAAAAACAAAAACAAAAAAAACCCTCCTATTAATTAAGAAGTATAAATGGTGAGTTAATCAAAGCAGAGACATCCAGTCTTGCCAAGAAGATATATTTGTGCTACTTGACTCTGGAAATTTAAATAAAGGATTCCTTTCCCAACTCAAGGTTGAAGTTCTAAGATCAGAATCAAAAAGAATGCTAAAAGGGAAGCCAAACTGGCAGCTAGATAACTGAACAAGGAAAGCTGAAAACTTGCAAACTCGCTTCTTGGGTAGGAATGATTTCCCAAATTCAGTAGAGTTAAATGTAAGTTGATGCCAATCTCTATCAGGGCTGGTGAGCGGGCGGTGGAGTAAAAGGTATGTTACGGTAGAATTACCTAGGATTTTCTCTAACTCCTGAAGATAAAGTGTTTTTCTGAAAAAGACTTTGGATAAATAACTCATGTCTTTATCAACAGAAAAATTTATCTTTAAGAAAGAGGGTTCAGTAAGAGTGAAAAATATTGTGGTCCAGCAAATGACATACAGGTCTGCAGGGTAATTGTGGCTCCTGGGGTTTTATAGCTATTTATATGGAAAACGGACATTTTCTGATTTCTTGGGAATTTAAGGTAGCTCTGTGGGTTTTATTTTCTTCTTTTCTATACATCTTTTTTCCTTCAAGTGTTATTATACAGAGTTGGCCCAGACTACAGGAGACATTTAAAATACTATGTGAAAGAAGACTGTTGCAAATGTGAAGTTGGCCATTGGAGGAGAGCAAGGGACTAATAGCACATACAGCAGCTTTCAGCTGGAGGGAAGGATTGGAGATCCTCTGTACAATGGAAGGAGCAAGTCAGTAGCTTCTTATAGAGAGCTCCATAGTCAAAGGAGTGCACATGTTTGAAAGCAGAGTGTCCTCTTAGCATGCTGCATCTATGCCTCTAGTGTTAAAGCATGCATTTTCCTGAACACAATTCACACACTGAAGCTGAACATATAAATGTTATAAGGCATAAACAAACAGCAGGGATTCAATACCCCACAGGGGTGACATGACCTGAGATGATACAGGGACCATATGTTCATGTGTTAAAAAAAGAAACTGCCTTGAGGACTTACCACCATCTCTTATGGGTGAGCAGTGTGAATGGATGCTTCCATATTTGTGTCCCACTTTCATCTTTTCTATCATGATGGTACCCTTGTAGATAAACACGGTAAAGAAGAGAATGACCTACTCATTTATCTGTAGAAAATCACAAGGGTAGACAGGCTTGACTACATGGGCTGGCAAGTGCATGTGATTATACAAGAGAAGGTTGAACTTCAGTGGGCTCCATGTGTGATTGCTCCATTTCTCTAAGAAAAATTGTCTTATTCTCAGAGACACATGCATTAGACCTCAGGGTAACAGTCTTCCTCGTAGCACTTCAGTTTGGTGATTGTCGAGAAAAAGAAGCATTCCTGGACCACGAAGCCAGTTATGTAAAATAGAAGTAGGCAATAGCTAAGAACACTTAGGAGAATCCTTGGCCTGGACTTCTTCCTGAGGTCCTGATGAGAATTTTTGATTTGTTACAGAAAACTGGCTTTCCACAACTGTCAGAGCTGGTAAAGCAGTCCCTGTAAGGTTCTTATCTCTTGGTCCTGGGCTGGAGCTTGAGGTTGGGCAGGCAGTTGGGAAGGAGATTGTGGGTATACGTTGGGGGAGATCAAAGTTAAGTAAAAACTCACAAGCATGAACTGGAACCTCACGAAAGGGGACTGAAACTCAGGCCAGTTCTTGTTGCCTCTGACCTTAGTGATGAGGTTATCCTCTAGAAGCCAGGTCTCTTCATTACAAAGCTGAATGCACAGGCTTAGCCTAGGAGTAGGACAATGAAAGGAGGATCCATGGGAAGGTAGAGTCATTGCAGGTGTGGCTGCTGTTTCATACCCATGGGGCAGGTCAGCAGATCAGCAACCACATACAGGCACACTGCATTCTACAGAGCTTTGCAGATATTGTATTTTCTGTACAAATGGAAGGTTTGTGGCAACTCCACATCAAGCACATCTGTTGGCATCATTTTTCCAATAGCATGTGCTCACTTCGTGTCCATGCATCACATTTTGGTAATCTTCACAATAGCTTAAACTTTTTCATCATTATTATATCTGTTATGGTGATCTGGGATCAGTGATCTGGGATATTGTTCTTGTTATGTTTAGAGGCACCACAACCACTCCCGTATAAGATGGCAAACTTAAATGATTAATGTTGTGTGTGTTCTGACTGTTCCAATGACCAGCGGTTCCCCCATCTCTCTCCCTCTTCTCAGGCCTCTCTACTCCCTGAAATACAACAGTATTGATACCAGGTCAGTTAACAACCCTACAATGGCCTCTAAGTATCTGAGTGAAAGGAAGGGCCACACATCACTCACTTTAACCTATTTCCTATTTAGAAAAAAAAAAAAAAAAAGTACAGCTCGTTGCCAGTGCTCTTTTCTCAGGACAAATGGGAAATCAAAGGCTAGCAACTATCAAGCTTAGAGAAGAAGGCACATTAAAAGCTGAGATAAGTTAAAAGCTAGGCTTCTTGTGTCAAAGAGCCAAGTTGTGAATGCAAAAGGAAAGTCCTCATGGAAATTAAAAGTGCTACTCCAGTGAACACACAAATGAAAAGAAAGCGTAACAGCCTATTGCCAACATGGAGAAAGTTTGATGGTCTGGCTGGAAGATCAAACCAGCCAAAACATTTCCCTTAAGCCAAAGCCTAATCCATAGCAAATCTCCAACTCTCTTCAATTCTATGAAAGCTGAGAGACACGAGGAAGCTGCAGAAGACAAGTGTGAAGCTAGCAGAGGTTGGTTCATCAGGTTTAAGGAAACAGGACATCTCCATAACATTAAAGTGCAAGGTGAAGCAGCATGTGCTGACAAAGAAGTTGCAGAAGTTGTCCAGAAAATCTAGTTATGATCATTGATGAAGTGGCTACACTAAGCAACAGATGTTGAATGTAGATGAAACAGCCTTATGTTGGAAGATGATGTCATCTAGGACTTCCACAGCTAGAGAGAAATCAATGCCTGGCCTTAAAGCTTCAAAGGGCAAGCTGACTCTCTTGTTAGGGGCTAAATACAGCTAGTAACTTTAGGTTGAAGAGAATACTCCTTTACTATTCTGAAAATTCTAGGGCTCTTAAAAGTTGTGCTGAAGTTCCTGTGTTTTATAGGAAAAACAAAGCCTGGATGACAGTACATCTGTTTACAGCATGGCTTACGGAATATTTTAAGCCCACTGTTGAGACCTATTGCTCAAAAACAGATTATTTTTAAAAATTACTGCTTATTGACCATGCACCTGAACACTCAAGAGCTCTGACAGATATGCACAATATGAATGTGTTTTCATGCCTTCTAACACAACATCCATTCTGGAGGCTCACAGAACAAGGAGTAATTTTTGACTTTCAAGTCTTATTATTTAAAAAATAAGGCTATAGCTGCCATAGTTAGTGATTCTTCTGATAGATCTTGGCAAAGTAAAGCAAAAACCTGGAAAGAAATCACCATTCTTTCCATTAAGATGCCATTAAGAACATTCATGGTCACTTTGGGAGGCCGAGGCAGGCAGATCACGAGGTCAGGAGATCGAGACCATCCTGGCTAACATGGTGAAACCCGGTCTGTACTAAAAATACCAAAAAAAATTAGCCGGGCGCGGTGGCAGGTGCCTTTAGTCCCAGCTACTCGGGAGGCTGAGGCAGGTGAATGGCGTGAACCCAGGAGGCAGAGCTTGCAGTGAGCTGAGATAGCGCCATTGCAGTCCGGCCTGGGTGACAGAGCGAGACTCCATCTCAAAAAATAAAACAAAAAAACAAAACAAAACAAAAACAGAAAAAAAAAATCATGATTCAAGGAAGAAGGTCAAAATATCAACATTAACAGAAATTTGAAAGAAGTTAATTTCAACCCTCAAGGAAGACTTTCTGGGGTTTAAAACCTCAGGGAGGGTAACTGCAGATGTGGTGGCAATAGCAACAGAACTAAAATTAGAAGTGGACCTGAAGATGTGACTGAATTACTGAAATCTCATGATCAAACTTTAACAAGTGAGGAATTGCTACTTATGGATGAGCAGAAAAAAAGTGATTTCTTCAGACATAATCTACTCTTGATGAACATGCTGTGAACATTGTTGAAATAACAGAGGATTTAGAATATTATATAACTTTGTTGATAAAGCAGCAGCAGGATTTGAGAGGATTGACTCCAATTTTGAAGCATTCCTACTGTGGATAAAATGCTATCAAACAGCATCACATGCTATGGAGAAATCTTTTGTGAAAGAAGAGTCCACTGATAAAACAACTTTTACGGTTGTCATATTTTAAGAAATTGCAGGGTCAGGCAAGGTGGCTCATGTCTGTAATCGCAGCACTTTGGGAGGCGAGGCTGGTGAATCACGAGGTCAGAGTTCAAGACCAGCCTGGCCAACATGGTAAAACCCCATCTCTACTAAAAATACAAAAATCATCTGGGCATGGTGCTGTGTGCCTGTAATCCCAGCTACTCGAGAGGCTGAGGCAGAAGAATTGCTTGAACCCGGGAGACAGAGGTTGCAGTGAGCCGAGATCGCACCACTGCACTCCAGCCCCGGCGAACAGTGTGCAAGACACTGTCTCAAACAAAAAAAAAAAAAAAAAGAAAGAAAAGAAATTAGCACAGCCACCCCAATCTTCAGCAAGCACCACCCTGATCAGTCAGCAGTGATCAACATTGACGCAAGACCCTCCACCAGCAAAAAGATGGTGACTCACTCAAGGTCCAGATAATCATTAGCACTTTTGTCAAGAAAGTATTTTTGAACTAATGTATGTACATTGCATATTTAGACATGTTATTTCACACTTAATAGACTACACTATACTATAAATATAATTTTTACATGCACTGGGAAACCAAAAAAGTGCATTTGTGTGACTTGTTTTTTGCAATACCAGCTTTATTGCAGTGGTCTGGAACAAACTCCCAATATCTCTAAGGTATGCTTGTATCTGAACTGCAAAGTAACTGCTACTTCATCCCTCCAAATCACCCAAAACCCTCCCTTGGGGTAAACTTTAACTATAACTAAAGACATACAAGAAAGTAGGATTGCCAGATAAAATATAGGACAACCAGTTAAATCTGAATTTCAGATAAACAACAAATTGCTTTAGTGTAAGTATGTTCCTGCCAGGCACAGTGGCTCACGTCTATAATCCCAGCACTTTGGGAGGCCAAGGTGGGCAGATTACCTGAGGTCAGAAGTTCGAGACCAGCCTGGCCAAATGTTGAAACCCCGTCTCTACTAAAAATACAAAAATTAGCTGGGCATGGTGGCTGTGCCTGTAATCCCAGCTATCCGGGAGGCTGAGGCAGGAGAATCGCTTGAACCTGGGAGGTGGAGTTTGCAGTAAGCCAAGATCATGCCACTGCACTACAGTCTGGGTGACAGAGTGAGACTCTGTCTCAAAAAAATAAAATAAAATAAAGTAAAGTATGTTCCCAATATTGCATGAGACATGTTTATACTAAAAATGTATTTGCCGTTTATTTGAAATCCAAGTTTAACTAGGTGTTCTGCATTTTTATTTGCTAAAGCAGGTTACTCTAAAAGAAAGGCCATTCTGGGAAATGTAGTTCAGCCTAGCTGATACATTACAAATGCATCGTATCATGAATTGGGAAATTCATGTACTGAGATTATATTGGCTACAGGTACTCTCAATTCTGCTAAGGATATAAGATAGGATATAATAAAACATGTCTTTCTACAGGCTGTCCGTTTAGAAGAAGTCATCGGTAAGGAAGTATTCCTTCAAAGGAGATTTGAGTACACAGTCACTGTACACATTTGTGATGCCCAATTAAAAGTTACCATATTTCAGGAAGGCTGACCTAAAAGAATGATCCTTACTCAGGGAACACACCACAGTTACCAGTGGAGCTTTTTCAAAAGTATAGATGACTGGGCCCAACTCTAAGACCTGCTGAAAGAGAATCTTCAGAATTGAGAATAAACTGTGTGGATGTTTTTTTTCCCAAAACCACAGTGGGTTGTCTAGGTGTGTACTCTTAATTAAGAACCCTTGTGGGCGAGGTGTGGTAGCTCGCGCCTATAATCCCAGCATTTTGGGAGGCTGAGGAGGGCAGATCATTTGAGGTCAGGAGTCTGAGACCAGCCTGGCCAATATAGTGAAACCCCGTCTATACAAAAAATACAAAAATTAGCTACGCATGTTGGCATGTGCCTGTAATCACAGCTACTAGGGAGGCTGAGACAGGAGAATCACTTGAACCTGGGAAGCGGAGGTTACAGTGAGCCTAGATCACACCGCTGCACTCCAGCCTGAGCAACAGAGCCAGACTGTCTCCAAACAACAACAATAACAACAACAACAAACCCTTGCTTTAGAGAAACAGTAAAACATGAATAAGTGGTGAATTCTGAATAGTTCATACTAGGTCACTACATTACATATTTTCCTCAAGCCCTCCAGAAAAATCCCCTATAATACTAACTTCAGACGTAAAGAATCAGCTGTTTAAAATGCCATAGCTGTGCATAGTGCCTGTATTAGTTTGTTTTCATGCTGCTCATAAAGATTACCTGGGACTGGATAATTTGTCTGTGTGTGTATATATATATATATATTTATATATATATATATAAATATATAAATATATATATTTAAAAATATGTATATATAAATATATAAATATATATGTATGTATAAATATTTATATATTAAAATATATAATATATTTATTAAAATATATAAATATAAATATATAATATATTAATATGTAAATATATTTATTAATCCATATAAATATATTTATTAATCTATATAAATATATTTATTAATCTATAAATATATTTATTAATCTATATAAATATATTTATTAATCTATAAATATATTTATTAATCTATATATATATTTATTAATCTATATATATTTATTAATCTATAAATATATTTATTAATCTATATAGATATATTTATTAATCTATATAGATATATTTATTAATCTATATAGATATATTTATTAATATATATTTATTAAAATATATAAATATATTAAAATATATAAATATATTAAAATATATAAATATATTTATTAAAATATATAAAATGTAAATATATATTTAAAATATATATATATATAAAAAGAGGTTTAATATACTCACAGTTCCATGTGGCTAGTGATGCCTCATAATCATAGTGGAAAGCGAAAGGCATGTCTTACATGGTGGCAGGCAAGAGAGAATGAGAGTCAAGTTAAAGCGGAAACCCCTTATAAAACCATCGGATTTTGTGAGACTTATTCACTACCCCAAGAACAGTATGGGAGAAACTGTCCCCATGATTCAATTATATCCCAACAGGTCCCTCCCACAACACGTGGGAATTATGGGACCTACAATTTAAGATGAGATTTGGGTGAAGACACAGCCAAATCGTATTAGTGTCTCTGGCCATTGGTAAAGTTTGGGTTTTTGTGTTAATGTCACCTTGCTGTCTGGGAGGTGGGAGTGGGAGTTGATGTGTCTAATCATTTTTCATTCATTTGCACTCTGGTCCATTGGGAATATCTCTGCTATCCCGTCTGTCACTATGTGCTATAGCTCTTTACCTGTTGTTCTCTCTCCCTGCCTGATTCCTTGAAGCTGAAAGCCATATGGTACTCTCTGCATCTCTGACTGCTCTCAGAAGACAAAACACATGGAAAGTACTCATTATATATTGAATGAATCAAAACTACATGCACATTCCCCTGTTGCTCCTTCTCTTAGCCTTTTGTCAGTCTTCATGAAGACTTTCAGTAATCAGAAAATAACAAATACTATTTATTGAGAGCTTATTATAAATCAGGCTGTTGTAAGTTCTTTATTTTACCAACTTAGTCCCTGAAATGTTTTTATGAGATAGATAGCTGAGGAAACAGATGGTCACAGATGAAAGTGCTGGCTTTTCATCACATGACTACTAGTGAAGGAACCAGAACTGAGACCAGATACCTTCTCTTAACTCCCAAGCTGAAGTGCTTCCCTGGAGAGCCTTGTCTAGGTCAGCATTGCATCCAGTCACATTCTTAAAACTTTACGGAGAGAGAATGTTTTAGAATAAAACCTGAAGTCATTTTTATAGTCGACTTTCTCTTCCTGAGTGTATAGTGTTCTCCTGAGAAAGCAGGCCCTCCATGGTAGAACAAGGAAAATGACATATAATTCACATTTCATAGAGTGAGTCATAAATTGAATCATTGGATCATCTAGTCCCATTGCATCAATGTAGAGAAAGATGAAATGATTTCTCTGAGGTCATGTGGTCAGAGGGTAATATATCTGGAATGAGGATCCATCAGTTCTAATTTGAAGTCTAGCACTTGCCATACAGCACTGGCATCTCTTACTGGACAATGCCAAGCCTTTTGTGTCTGTGACTTGGGCAGAATTTGGGTTAAAAATGGAAAAACGGCCAGGCACAGTGGCTCATGCCTGTAATCCCAGCAATTTGGGAGGCTGAGGCAAGCGGATCACCTGAGGCCAGGGGTTCAAGACGGGCCTGGCCAACATAGTGCAACCACGTGTCTACTAAAAAGACAAAAGGGATTAGCCAGGCGTGGTAGCGGGTACCGGTAATCCCAGCTACTCGGGAGGCTGAGGCAGAAGAATGGTGGCTTGAACCTGGGAGGCAGGGGTTGCAGTGAGCCAAGATCATGCCACTGTACTCCAGCCTGGGTGACAGAACAAGACTTCATCTCAAAAAAAAAAAAAAAAAAAGAAAAGAAAACCAGAGTGCTACACCACCTCAAAAGGAGCCTTTACATCATCCCTCAAGGTGGTTTCTCCTTCTTCCCCAAAATGTGGTTCTTAGTTTTTTCTTTTGGGAGCGGGGAGCTTTTCATTTAAACAGGGGTATCCGTGGAAGACAATACAGTCATGGGTTCTCTGTTTCTGTTTGGGTCAGTAAAGCCCCTTCCTGATCCCTCTTTTTCACTTATCACTAGAGACAGAAAGTAAGGAACATGGGCTTCAGGCTGCTGAAAGCCTAAAACAAAACAAAACAGAACAACAACGATAACAACAAAATAAGGTGGGCTGGACAAGCTTAGAACTTTAGAACATAGTTTCAGAGGTTAAGTACACAAGCGCCCTAGCCATGAGCCTAAACAGTATTGGTCCAGAGAGGAAACTGCCAAGAATAGGATCCGGGAGGGCCCCCATATCTCCGCCAGTAAGGCAAGAAATGGGAAGATGTGGTCCTCTTTTGGGTAAATCAGCAAGGGGAATGAGGAAAGCTTCCAGTATCTTTACTGGGACACCAACATGGTGCTCTGGCCCGGCAGGCACAGTCAGGGAACATCGTGAGATGGGGGCTTCATTCCATCCCAGACCATCCCAGGATTCAAAACATATTCAGAGATTGTATCTTTGACTTTCCTAACTAATTGCCGTCCCCTCTTTTTAAAAAAGCAACAGCCACACAAAGACAACTTCAGAGACAGAGACTGCTAACTAGAAAACATAGACTTAAAAACCAACAGTGAGATGGGAGAGAGAAAGAGGCTGCTTCAGGGAATAAGTAAAAAAAAAAAAAAAAAGCCATGATTCCTCGCCATTAAAAAAAAATAGAAAACATTAAACACACATATGCCCTTTAAAGAGCTAAAATGATCGGAGTGCATTTATTTTCTCAGTTTTATTTAGCCAGGTTGGAAAACAAAACCCGGAAATTAATGCCAAGATAACAGAGATGAGGGTAGAACTTTTGTCTCTAATAATTATCTTACTATCTGTCCATCTTAGATCAACAAACATGCTATGATTGACAGTTGAAAATGTTTAGATTAGTCTGAGCTCACATAAACCATTTGAAGTTTTCTAGGACGGGAGAATGTTATAAAGCAAACAAATAATCTCCTTTCCATCTTCCCACTTTCAAACCTTCTTACCACCTGCCCTCCAAGTCTTTTTCTTTGGAAGTCCATTCACACAACTGGTGGACACAAGCTTTGGGTGAGACCTAACAAATTACTGCATTCTTCTAAATGAAAAAAGAGACAATGCTCAGGAAATTTAATTATCTTCAGTATATACGGCAGAAGAAAAAAATAATTCTGATAACTATCACTTTCACTCCCTTGCTTCCTCTTACAAATTCTGAGTCTCCCAGAGGTCTTGACCCTCTGTTGTGAAGAATCATCATGGTAATGAACAAGGAGATAATTGAGATCTGCTGGGTGAATTCACAGTGGGGACAGAAGAGAATCACTGGTAAAGAAAAACAGACTCCATCTGGATGGTCAGAGGGAGGCAGAGGAGGAAAAAAAAAATAGAAGAGCTTTAAGGAGAATTTGTTTTTTGGAGATGTGAGAGAGGTTTTTGTTGGTGAGTCAAATATCTCCAAGGAGTGAGAGTGGGAGATTTTAGAAAATCGTGGACTATGTAGTAAGTGAATGAAACATATCCATTTTAAATAGATATCAATAAAGATTAAATGTCTTTTCCATGAATGTCAGTTTCAGATTGATGTTTATTTGAATGTGGCACTGTGGAGAAACAGAATAGGAAGTACCTGGGTTTGTGTGGATGACAAATATTTAATGACCTACTTCAAATGATCACTTGGTTTACTCTCTTAGGCTGTTCTCGCATTGCTATAAAGAAATACCCGAGACTCGGTCATTTATAAGAAAAGAGGTTTAATTAGCTCACAGTTCTGCAGGATTTACAGGAAGCATGGCCCCGGGATCTAAGCATGCTTGGCTTCTAAGGAGGCCTCAGGAAGTTGACAATCATGGTGAAAGGCAAAGGGGGAATAGGCACATCACATGCTGAAAGCAGGTGCAAGTGAGAGAAACTGAGGAGCGGGGAGGTGCCACACACTTTTAAATGACCAGATCTCGTGAGAACTCATTATCATGAAGACAGCATCAAGCCATGAGAGATCTGATCCCATGATCAAAACACCCCCCCCACCAGGCCCCACCTCCAGCACTGGGGATTACAATTCTACTTGAGATTTGGCCAGGGACAAATATCCAAACAATGTTATTTATTTGTGCACTGTCCCTAACCCTCAACAACACCCTTTTGTGAGGAAAAAAATAAAATGCATTGTGGAAATGATTAAAAAGGGACTAGATGAAGACTACTGTCAAATAATCTAAAAGATTAAGTGTGGGGGGTAGTCATATAATAGGTAAAAACATTGGCATAGCAGCAGCCCAGGCACGGTGGCTCACACCTGTAATTCCAGCACTTTGGGAGGCCGAGGCGGACAGATCATGAGGTCAAGAGATCAAGACCATCCTGGCCGAGATGGTGAAACCCGGTCTCTACTAAAAATACAAAAATTAGCTGGGCTTGGTGGTGTGCACCTGTAGTCCCAGCTATTCAGGAGGCTGAGGCAGGAGAATTGCTTGAACCCAGGAGGCGGAGGTTGCAGTGAGCCAAGATCACGCCACTGCACTCCAGCCTGGCGACAGAGTGAGACTCCATCTCAAAAAAAAAAAAAAAAAAGGCATAGCAATTTTAAACTTAGGTCCTAGAGTTTATGACTGCTAGAAAATGTGAAGTAATAACCACTTATTTATTAATTCAAGAAATGTTTCAAGTGCCTTCTATTTTCCTTGCCCTCTTCTGTGTAAAGTGATTACAACATGAACAAAGGAGACAAAATATCTTTGTTCCTGGAGCTAACTTTCTAGCAGAGAAACACAGATCATCTATAAACAATAGGTACAATATATAGGATGTAAAGCATGTCATTTGGGGGTAAGTGCTATGAAAAATATAGTAACACAACAAAGAGGTTTAAGAACTGATAAAGATAAGATGGCATTTCTAATTTAAATAGAACAGTCAAAGAAGATCACACTAATCTGAAAGAGCCAAGAGTGTCAGCCATGTGAGTATCTGGAGAGAAAACATTCCAGGCAGCAGGTGCAAAGGCCCCTGAGACAGGCGCTTGACAGGCATTCTCAAGGAAACTACATGTTCTAAAAGATTTTATAATTTTTAAAGGGTTTTTTGTTGTTGTTGTTTTGAGATGGAGTCTCACTCTGTCTCCCAGGCTGGAGTGCAGTGGCAAAATCTCGGCTCACTGCAAGCTCCGCCTCCCGGGTTCACACCATTCTCTTGCCTCAGCCTCCCGAGTAGCTGGGACTACAGGTGCCCAACACCATGCCCAGCTAATTTTTTGTATTTTTAGTAGAGACGGGGTTTCACCGTGTTAGCCAGGATGGTCTCGATCTCCTGACCTCATGATCCACCGGCCTCGGCCTCCCAAAGTGCTGGGATTACAGGCGTGAGCCACCAAGCCTGGCCAAAAGTTTTATTTTTTAGTGTATTCCAAAATGGGATAAGAATGTCAGCTTCACAGAACTGTTGTGAAATAATTTAAAATAATGAAAAGTGCTCGGCTTTTTAGTAATTAATTACTGTGAGTAAGGAAATAGTATTTTTCTTGCCACAGTGCTGATTTGTCAAGAGATGTGTGCTGACTTCCAAGTCAAATCACACAACAGGCTGTAGTTCAGTCTACCTAGAGGCAAAAAACCACTATAATGATGAACACAGATTCAAACCCCAATTAGGAGATATTACTCAACATCTCCTAGATGTTGGAATAGCTTACTCAACATCTCTAAGTCTCTCCTTTGTAATCTGTCAAATGGGGATAAAAATATCTATCCCTTGAGATTATTGTGAAGTTTAAATAAAACACTGGGAATAATGGAAAAAATATATAATAGTTCAAATGTACTAAATGCTCACCTTGTGTGGGGCACAGCATAAAGCCATTTCCCTCATAAGACTACAAAGTAATATTATCATACCCATTTTTCAGATGATGAGACTACAGTCTAAATCACATAGCATTGGGTCCATAACAAGTGAATTATGGAGGCAGGATTTGAATCCAGGAGCCTGAAGACAGAGTCTGAGCTGCTGACTGCCAAATTCTTAACCCCCTCATTGCTACACCTGGCACAAAATTAAAGCTCAATTAATGGCAGAAGCTGTTACTGCTGTTGATATTATTATGCCACTCAGAAGAAGAAACTCTTTTCAAAGGTGACAAAGCACACATTTAAAATAGTAAGGCTGACAGTTACAGACAGATACACCCATCATCGGGGTTGAACAAAGAAAAGATCTGCTCGCCAGACCCCAGTTTGCAATAGTTAAAAAATTGAGTCACACGTGTGAGTCATGAATAAAATCCAGGGAAGACACACAGCCTCACTCTATCTAGTCCCCGATATTCTAAAATTGGGACTACCAAGACCTAGAAAAATGTTTTGTGAGTCTTCTTTTAATGTAGACTATGTCTTGTTTTTCTCAACACCCCAAAAGACATTTAAGGAGAGTATTGTCAGCAGCCTCAGCCCTTCTCCCTGAAGTGTGAAATAAAAGTAACACAAACAAGCAGCTATATTTCCTCCAATCCCTGGGCTTTCTCTCTACCCCACGCAACATCACGACACACACATGTATTTGCTGCCTGTCTTCCTTTTCATGGCTCAAGTCAGTTTGCACAGATGGTTTTCGAATTGACTTCTTTTAAAATAACTTATATTACAAAGTTGGTTTTCTGCTCCTGCCAGCCTTAACCAGAACTGCTTCCGTGTGCCTCCTTAGAAACTCCCATCCCAAGCAGATCTTTCTACCTTCCACTCATGCACATGTGCACACACACACCCACACCCACACACACACACGTTTATTCTAGTAAACTCCTACTCCTGCAGGAAATCATGAAGAACCCATATTTTGACATTTATACAGAAGTATCACCCCAGTATTTTAAAAGTTCTGTTTCACAACTGTAAGCCTAGCACTCTAGAGGGCTGAGGTGAGAGGAACACTTGAGGCCAGGAGTTCGAGACCAGCCTGAGCAATGTATGTAGCAAGACCCAGTCTCTATGAAATAAATAAATAAATAAAAATTAGTAAGCATGGTGGCACACACCTGTAGTTCCAGCTACTCAGGAGACTGAGGTGGAAGGATCACTTGAGCCCAGGAGTTCGAGGATGCAGTGAGCTATGATCGCGCCACTGCATTCCAGCCTGGGTAACAGAGTGAGACCCTGTCTCAAAAAATAATAATAATAATAATAATTCTCAGTTTCCCTAAAAGGTAGAGAATAAGAACTCCTTATAGGCAAAGTTTATATTGTGGCAATGCCCTACAGTATATAAGTAAATCTTGTGTCATATAATAAGTTTTCAAATAAAAACAATTGATGTGGGTAGTAGTAATAGAAGAGAAAGTTTTGAGATAGAACAGAGTATTATGGGCGGGTGCTTATACCTCTTAGGAGAGTATTCTGCTGCACAGAAAGATCCCTAGAACTGCTTAGCCCATTTTATACTGGGTTTTCCAGTCTCAGTTGGTGACTAGACTAATAAAGATTGAATTCATTTTAGCTAGTACTTATTAAGCATATTATTGTCACACACCTACATATATGCATGCTCCCATCTCAGGGAACAATTGTCTTTGAAAATGCTCAACTTCTAATCAGAGTTCAGGAAGGGAACGGAAACTCCATTTTTATTCTCTTTCTTGTAGTCCAATAAGCTTATCCTGGTAAATAAATATCCCTGCTACAACCAGAAAGCAAGCTTTTGGTTTTCAATTTAGCTTCATCCATCTCCATGTTCTTAACTATGAGGAGAACGACAGAAGCTATAGGATTCTCAGGTCTACTGCAAACTCAAAGCATTTTAGGATGCGACAGACTTCGAGAGAGAACGCTACGGATGCCTGGATTGGACTTCATGCTCAAGACGCTGTTAGGAGGCCGTTCAGAGCCACTGAATTCAATCACCATGAGCACTCCACTCTCTCTTGTATTCACTTTCAGATACATGCACTGATTTTTGTTTCATGTCAGTTTCCGCTCTTACATTTATCTTGCAAACTAACCATTGCTAGTCTCTCCTCCCATGCAACTTTTCCAAGTGTTTGTAGGCAAATTAATAAAGACTTCGCCAGTTACCAAGGCAATTGCAATGAGGGCTCCTCAATGTGGTACCTTTATTCCAATAAGATTTTCTGTCTCCAAGGTGGAATTCCTGCCAAATTTCTCTTTTCCTCTCATTTCCCTCCTATTTGAGTAAGGTGAGAAATGAAAAGTAAAGTAGTAGGGTCGTATTTAACAGTGTCAGATGCCAGGACACACTGCTCCTTCATTGTCCCGAGGCTTTCTAAATGGAGTCAGTGCTGCCGGGAATGTTTCCTCCCTTCCAGCCCGCTTTCGCCTTCTTATAGAGTGTATCAAGCAAGTCAGTGAGCTGTGGTTTTCCTATTCAGGCCAAGGCAAGCAAGCTAAATGCGCTTTGAGTGCTGAAAGGCCTCTGGGTCACTTCATGGTATGCAATGAATCAGAAACTTACCAGGGTATTGATTCATATTCAGGACATATTTAAATGTACAAGCAATCCCTGTTTTGATTTCCATTTCCATTTTTTTAAATGTCTATGTCGAAATCTTAGGTGTGGTCAGGATTCAGATAAATATTAACATATTACAAATCATTTAGATAATGTCTTATGTTCAATTTAGATTTCATTCTGCCATTCAGGATATTCCTTTAGAAAAATAATTTGTTTATTTATCTTTTATGTTTGTTTTGCTGCTACTATATTACTGTATGTGGGGAGGGGTGAAAAGTAAAATATATACGGCATAAGACATGAAGGTAGAGACCCAATGTGATGATTAATTTTATATGTCAACTTGACTGGGCCATGGAGTGCTCAGATACTTAGTCGAACATAATTTTGGGTGTTTCTGTAAAACTGTTTTGGGGTAAGTTTAACATTTAAGTTGTAAACATTTCAATCAGTAGAGCAGACAGCCCTTCCTCATGTGGGTGGGCCTTATCCAATCAGTTGAAGGCCTAAAGAGAACAAAAAGTCTGAGCTTCCCCTGAATCATGGGGAACCCCCTCCTGCATGACTGCTTGAGCTAAAACAACATTTTTTTTTTCCTGCCTTTGGACTCAACTGAAACATTAGCTCTTCCTAGGTCTCGAGCTTGCTGGCTTTCAGACTAGAACTACACCATCAGCTCTCCCAGTTTTTAGGCCTTTGGACTCAGACTGTAACTGCACCATAGGCTCTCTTAGGTCTCCAACTTGCTGACTGCAGCTCCTGGAGCTGACTTGTCAGCCTTCATAATCACTTGAGCCCATTCCTCTTTCTCTCTGTGTGTGTATGTGTGTGTGTATATATATATATATATATATGTGTGTGTATATATATATATGTGTGTATATATATATGTGCATATATATGTATGTATGTATGGAGATATATATATAGATATATATAGATGGATATAGATAGATAGATAGAAAGATAGATACATAATCTCCATCCCATTGGTCTGTTTCTCTGGAGAATCCCAATACATTCAACTTCTTGTCAAGTACCTTCAGGATCTTAATAGATTCACTACACTCTCTAAGGTTTCTTTTCCCCTTATGTAACTGCGACAGAAAAAATGTTCAAATGCCTCCCAGTGACACTGAGATGATAAAAAGATAAATCGCAAAGAGATCCTAGAAGAATACACCATAGATATCCCCATGCACTAAGAAAATCTTTCTTATGGTTTTGTCCAGCAGAACCTAGCAACCTTTCAGCTCTGACTGAAAATGGAAGACTTAGCTCTCCATCATTGGCAAGGAAAAGCTGTCGTGTGCTGGCCTTAACCATTGAGATATTCCTTATTCCTTCTGAAAACTTGTCTCTTTTGGTGGAAAGGAATGGAATCTTATTCATAATCTTTTAACAATAAATAAACCCTAGGTGCTTAACATGAAGTAATTGAATGTGGACCTGTCTCTAATCAGAGAAAAATCGTACTTGAAATATTTTTTGTGTAAGACAAATCCTTTTTTAAAACGTTGTACTCCAGCTCTTAATGATAACAAAAAAGAGCAGAATTTTACATTATTTAAAAAGTCTCCATTTTAATGGTTCAAAATTTGGTGGACATAAAATTAACCAATATTTTTAAGAAATACCATTTTTATATTAGATTTGATTTATACAACTACACATACATTCCACATCCTGTCCTAGCACAATATTTTCACATTTAATAACTATTTACGTGAGTGAGTAGCTAAATGGCTGGAAAGTAATATTGCATGGTTGTGGAAAATACAGACTGACTCAGACTGACGGAGGTAGAGTCATGCCTTTACAAATTAATAAGTATATGACATTGCAAAAATTACTGAAACTCAAGACTTGGTCTTAACATCTACAAAATGGGATGATAGTAGTAGTGAGCCTTAAAGGAGCTAGTACATTGCATACTGTTCATTCAGCAATATACCTAGCACATAGTAAGTTTTCAATAAATACTATCACTGATTATTAGAATGATGACCTATAAATTGATCAGAAGTGCCAGAGGTAACACTTTCTAACTGTAGCTGTACTGCTACTAAAGAAGGATAACCACCTTCTCAAATTGGTACTCCTTTTCCAAAGAAAGGTATAACAGGAAGGGAAAGATGATGCAGGGCAAACTGACCATCATGAAGTACACATTCTTCTTGATGCTTTCCTTGGAGGTTCTCAGAAGAGACTGGTGAGGAAACTGAGTCATGGACATGACATAATCTCAAATATGATTATAACACTGAAAAGGACATGGGTTTCTTTTTTTATGTAGCACATTGACATAAAATGAATGCATGATACAATGGAATTACTTGCTCTATTAGTCTGTTCTCATGCTGCTAATAAAGAAATACCCAAGACTAATTATTTATAATTAGGATAATTTATAAAGGAAAAAGGTTTCATTGAATCACAGTTCAGCATGGCTGGGGAGGCCTCACAATCATGGCAGGAGGCTAATGAAGAGCAAAGTCATGTCTTACATGGCGGCAGGCAAGAGAGCATGTGCAGGGGAGCTCCCCTTTACCAAACCATCAGCTCTCTTGAGACTTATTCATTATCATGAATACAGCAAGGGAAAAACCCACCTCCGTGATTCAATTACCTCCCACTGGGTCCCTCCCATGACACATGGGGATGATTACAATTCAAGGTGAGCTCTGGGTGGAGACACAAAGCCAAACCATATCACTTGCCATCAGGAATAATAATTCATACACCAATGAGAATAGAGAAGGGAAGGGGAAATAGGGAAGAAAGGATATGAAGAACAGAGAAGGGAAGGGGGAAAAAAGAGAATGAAGGAAAAGCTGGAAGCTGCATCTGTAGATAGAAATATTAGCACTTTATTTTGCTTTCTTTTTAACTAAACATGACTGGTTCAATGGAAAAGGCAGAAGCTTTTCAATGGAAAAGGCAGAGCAATCCCTATGATTGCTCTTTTCTCACTTGGTGTTTACTTCCATGTCCCAAATAGGCTCCAGAAGATCCTTCTCAAAAGTTACATTTTACTGTGTCTTTCATCCACTCAACAGCCTTTGATGGCATCACATCCAACTCAGAGTAAAACCCAGCGTCTTTGCAATGCCTCACACACCCTATGTCTTTTGGTCCTGCCCACCTCTCTCATCTCCTGCCCTGTCACATTCTACACCAACCACACTGGCTTCCTCACTGAGCTTCCAGGAGGCCTTTGCACTGGCTGCTCCCTCCATGGAATACTTCCCCTAGATAATCATATGTCTCTCTCCTTCACCTTCCTCTAGTCCCTACATAAATGTTCCTTTATTAGAAATATCTTCCATAGCCTAATCCCCCATCAGCCTCTTCCAGTGTCATAGTTTACCCTGGTACTTACTGTCACCTCTATGTACATAATGTTTGTTTGATTCTATATGTCTTCACTTCCTGTCCCCCCCTTACCACCACCACTAGAATGTCAGCTCTGGGAGAGCATGGACAGTATACAGTTTACTGCTCTTATATATCAAGCCTCAACAAATGACAACTCATAATTAGCACTCAAATATATTGTTAAATATGTAAGTGAATAGAAAAGAAAGCAGGGAGGTGGACAGGGAAGGAGGTGGACAGGGAAGGAGGTGGACAGGGAAGGAGGTGGACAGGGAAGGAGGTGGACAGGGAAGGAGGGGAAGAGGGAAGGAGAGAAGGTCATTGATATGGTTTGGCTGTGTCCCCACCCAAATCTCACGTTGAATTGTAGCTCCCATAATTTCCATGTGTCATGGGAGGGACCTGGGTGGGAGGTAATTGAATCACGGGGCAGAGTCTTTCCTACACTGTTCTCATGATAGTGAATAAGTCTCAGAAGATCCGATGGTTTTATAAAGGGGAGTTCCCCTGCACAAACTCTCCCATCTGCCACTATGTAAGATGTGACTTTGCTCCTCAGTCACCTTCAGACATGATTATGAGGCCTCCCCAGCCATGTGGAACTGTGAGTCCATTAATCCTTCTTACTTTATAAATTACCCAGTCTCAGGTATGTCTTCATTAACAGCATGAGGACAGACTAATATAGTCATTTACCGCTTGTGGATCAGCTTACTTAAAATAATTTCACCTAGATGCAGGCTCAGTCTTCCTTTTATACACAGCTATGGCCTGGCTAGCAGATGTGTGAGCTACTTGGTCCTTTACGTTAAGAACGCTGAAAGGCAAGGCAACAGGAAGCCAATGGCCCCACCACAGCACACTTACATCAGGCTCTGCAGTATCATATGGGAAAAGCAGATAAATCACAGGTGGATCATGGACATTACATAGAAAGCCACTGCTGCAGTCCAAGGCCACTCCAATCCTTAATGTCTTCTCTGTACTAGTGTTTCTCAAGCTCCACTAATAGCTATCAGTCACTTAACACAATGCTAAGCTCTTTACCGAATGTTTTATCTATCATAATCTCATTTAATCTTTGGAACAACTCTGAGCAGGAGGTGTTATAATCCCATTTTTACAGATGACAGAACAGACTTAGGTAAAGTGGTTCACCCAATTTCACACAATGAATACACAACAAACCCGGGTTGGGAAAAGAGGCTGTCAGACTCCAAATACCAAAACCTCCAAAAACCTCTACCCATCCTGCCTTCTAATTGTCCAGCTACCGTACCCGAACCTGTCTTTCAAAGACTGAATCCCATAAGGATACAAACAAAAAAAACCTCTACTCTCCCTGATATGGCCATTGATCTACTGGACATGAATACTGTCATTACCTTTTTGTCAACGGCCCAAAAAAATGCAGCAGTATTATAAGAAATGCTTTTGCTTGCTATTACATTTTACACATTAAAACTACAATGCATCAGTAGTTTGAAACTGTTGTAATGCTACTGATTACTCAGTTTGCTGCCATGATATCTACAAAATATAAATATGATAAAGTAAAAGCAAACATGTTATTGTCCTATTGAGAGCAGGACTTGCAGAAGATGCTAGGGCCAGCCTCTCTGCAGTGTGGGAGATGTGGGAGTTGAGAGGGAGGGAATTCTCTGTCATTTTTATAAAAACTTTGTGTGCCACATACAGTATATCTGTGTCTCGATGGATCATAACATTATCAGTCAAAAACTGCTTTTTAGATCTCCCAACCTTTTGACTCAATCAAGGAAGAGTCATTACTTCTAAGCATGGCAATCTACACTTTATCTTAAAAAAGGGGAAAAAATCATTAGGCAGAGTTTCTAATGAAATAAGTAGAAAGAAGGAAGAATGATACATACATGCTGTCTTACCTTCTTTCCCTTGATGTTAAAATGGAAAGCCACGCTATTTACATGCCTAGGAGTCCCATACTTAGCGTAATTATTATGAATAATGTTCCAGAGACAAGTTTAGGTTTTCTTCTCCTAGAAATACTTTGAGAAGGTAGAAGAGATGAGAGAGTAGGAGAGATGGAATTTGCATATCCTTATAAAATAACCTCTAAAACCTATGCTTATGATAGACCCTGTGCTAGAGGATTGCATATACATTATTTCATTTGATTTTCACCACTTTGAAAAAGATATAATAACCATTTACTATTAAAGAAACTGAAGCTCAGAGGATTTAAGTGATTTATCCCAAGGCCACATTGCCATTTAGGAGGCAGACTGTTTGGGCCAGATCCATGGGTTTTCCTGCTACTCCTGTTGCCCCAGATGGATACAGCATGTGTTACTCCCGAGATGGCATTGCTATGAGCCTCAACATTCACAAATAAATTGCAAGGTTACCAAATTCTCAACATTTACAAGAAACAAAAAAATGACTAGGCAGATTTTCTACATTATAGGATCCTTAACAGAAATAAAAAAGCAGCCCGGGCACAGTGACTCATGCCTGTAATCCCAACACTTTGGGAGGCCAAGGCGGGCAGATCACCTGAGGTCAGGAGTTCAAGACCAGCCTAGCCAACATGGTGAAACCCCGTCTCTACTAAAAATACAAAAATCATCCAGGCATGGTAGCACATGCCTGTAGTCCCAGCTACTTGGGAGGCTGAGGCAGGAGAACCGCTTGGGAGGCAGACGTTGCAGTGAGCCGAGTTTGTGCCACTGCATCATTCCAGCCTGGGTGACAGAGCAAGACTCTGTTTCAAAAAATAAAAATAAATAAAAAAATAAAAAACAAAAGAGCAACCAACCAACCAAACCAGAGTCGATCAGCCACTTTAAGTGTCCTCTCAGCTTTTAGGCCACAGCAGACCGTTCTAATTGGCCACTTCCTCTCTGTTCACTAGAGAGTTCCAAATTGGATTAATATCTTATCCCATCTGTAAGTGCTGTTCCGTCTTTGTGAGCAAACCTATCCGGGTTTTTCCAGCTTACAGGCTGCCAGTCCCTTGGTGAAGTCAAAATAGCAATTTTCTTATTCTGTTACTAGCTCTACTCAGTTAACTCAGATTAAGAAAAATTATCACCTTGTTTTGAAAGAACTCTGACTTCACAGGGGCCATGGTTATGCTAGTTTCAGAACCTCTGTCCTCTGAGGTCATGGAATACAGTAGCTATGTGGAAGTAATGGATTAGAAGAGAAAAATGAGATCTCCTTCCGCTTCCTCCTCATTAATATTTCCAAAGATCTCTGAGTCGTTGCCAAAACTGTGACTGAGCATTCACATGGGTTTTCAAGGCAGGTTCAGTGTTTGCTTAAGTTATATGGTAACCTTATCAGTTTCACTTCATAAGCCCATCGCAGTTCAGTTTGATTTTAGGTTTCTGAAGTGGAGTTGGTAATTTCTAATAGATGTCAACTACTACAAAGTTCAGATGTGGAACCAGACATATTTGGGCTGCAAGTTTTTGGAAAACTGGAGCTGACTCTCTTGAGAGATTTCCAACAGGGAGGGGCTAGCACCTTTTTGCCAAGTTTAGACCCCATTCCAAATCCAACAGGGTTAGAACCCTCAATCTTGGCTTGAAAATTCTGCAAGATGAGGGGGAGTTCTGTTTTATTTTCCTCTAATTTAGCAGAAGTCTTCTTAGCTTTCAGAATTATGCCCAAGGGAACCATGTATAGACTTTTAGTGGCTCTGATAAAAATAAAACCTACTTTCAATGACTTAATATGATTTTTTTAATGTTTTTATGGTTTTGATCCTACCCAGCCAAATGCATCTGCAGTTCCTAGTTTCATTGTCTTAGCATGATTGACAGGGATCTATTCATTGGAGAACACTCACCTGTAAATATATCTCAGGAAATAATTTTTTTATCTCCCTAAAAGTTAGAGTTAAATCACTCCTCTAAAACTAATTGTTTCTGCCCAATAGCAAAAGTCACTGCTTGGCAGGTAAATTATGCAAATGCAATTTGTCTATGCTCCATGTTATTTCTGTGTATGGAAAAGTTGTCATGGCCAGGGCAATCTATATTAATAGAATGAGTAGAAGAAACAAGGAGTGGCCTATATGGACTGGATAGGACCTGTGTAGAAAATGGAAGGAAAGCGGGGCTTAAGTCAGGAGACCTTGGTTAAAGCCCCAGTTCTGCCACTCACTCACTGTGATCTATCAATGGCAAGTTATTTAATTACTGATCTTGGCTGTAAAAGAGGAAAAACAATACCTGCTTTATCTTGAGGGAAGATAACGTATATGAAAGTACAGCATAACTACACACATAGACAAAATTCTAGGAACCGTAAAAAAATGCTTATCCTGAATTCTATAGTCTGCATCCATTTCAGAGGATATGAAATAGGATCGGCTTAGATCATCCAATGTCTTTATATTCCTATAACATGATGCAATTTTTTAGGAACAAAATAACTGGTGACTGTAGAAAACTTAATAGAAATCTTCTTCCCAAGTCTGTCTCTGGATTTGCCCGTAAAAGGATCTCCTTTAAAACAAAGTCTGGAAAAGACCAATGATGATGACTGTCCCAGACTGGCAATGAGCAAAGCCTCCCTCTTCTTATTAGGGACCAATTAATATTCATGTAGTCCCAACCCTGAAGGGATTTAGCTCCAGCATTTCATAAAACTGAAGTAATCCATCATCCAAAAAGGGCAAAGAGGCAAAATTTCTGAGCCCTTTTTCTCAAACTCCATTAGAAAATGTAAGCTCACGTTACTTCCCCTCCCTAACCCTTTCCTGCTTTATGAAGTGAGACTATTGTGGATAACTGTGGTCTCGTAATGCATTTTTGGCCAGCCAAGGCAGTACCATGGCTTCAGAAACTCTCTTTAGTAGGAGTTGGCCAGTGTTCTATTGTTTGCGTCTGGGACATGGCCAGTGGAGTTCGGACATCTGCCCATTGTGTGAGTTCCTTGGGCGCCAGAGGGCTGAAGCTCATTATTCCACTGGGAATTATGCCTCTGTTCCTTGAAAAGGGAGTGACTCACCAACAACCCTCTATCACATCTGACATTTGGAAGACGAAAATCCTTTGTGAGTTCCAAGTTTAATTTTGTGGGTGAGTTTCTTATTCTAACCAAGCTGATCCATAAAGGTATTGACTGGAGTTTGTTCTTTGGTAAGAAATTTGGGAATCCCATTTCTAGATGTGCCTAGGATTATGCCAATCCAAACAGTCTATCCCCTCTGGCTGCAAAACCAGAGGATAAAAAGAGAGAACAAGCATCACAAGAGGCAGCAGGGGCAGTGCTGGCATGGTATAAGGAGCTGGCAAATTTCTCAGTTCTCTCAATAATTTTGCTTTTTTCATGCCCCTTCCTTTTAATTCTATTGCAACCCATTCCAAGACCTCTGAGAATCTCAATAAACAGTTCTATTTTAATCTCCTACTTTTGTTATTAACTAGTAATGGCACATTGGAAAAGCTTATAATCCAAAGTTTCAATTTTTTGCCTTGAAAATGGGCACTATATTAGCATGTACCACACAAGGCAGTGAAGACTAAATTGCTTAGTATGAGAGCATGGTACATAATAAATGCTCAGTAAAAGTCCGAGATAAAAATGATGACAATGATGGGGTTTACAAATAGCTCAGCACAGTAGTTAGCATGTAATAATGACTTGATAAATGATGAGAATTATTATTAAAATTATATTATTACTTTTTCTAAGTAAAGGGTGAGAAGAGCTCAGTCAGCTTATTTGTTAAAGTTTATTTAGACTATTTCCCATTAAGGTAAACACCTGGCTTTGGCCAGGCCTGAAATTGAGGCTTGACCTTGAAATGCCATCACCTCTGCTGTTCTGTGACCTTGCTCCCAGCACCCGTTGACCAACATTTTAGTTCCTTAAGAGGTTCTAACCTAGCCTTTATGGCTAACAATAGCCAATAACTTCCAGGAAAACAAAAAGCAGGATATTGGGGTCTCTTGGCCTCTGCATCAAAGAACAGCTGGATCCAATTCAGAGCTTTAACTGAAGAAAGAAAGAAAAATGGATGCCCTTCCTCTGGTCGTATGTCAACTTTTACCGACTGTGTCTCTACCACCTGCAAGAACAGATGCAAATGGAGTGTTTTTATTAGGGTAAATCTTCCAGCAGATTATAAGAAATGGCCCTGCAAGAAACCAGTCCCATTGGGAATTAGTTGACAACACCCTCTGTGGATGCTGCGGCAAGGTGTGGCCCTTGGAGCGGAAGAGTTCTAGGTTCAAAGCCTGACTCAGCCCCCTGACCTTGGGCAGCTTTATTTATCTTTTTGGAGCTCAGGTGCTTCATTTCACATAAAGAGGCAGTAGAGAATTACACGCTTACATAATACTTACCTGGGAGGGCCACTCTGAGATTTCAATGAGATCCTATTCACTAAACCATGTAACACAGCCTATGAGACTTAGTAAGTATTTGATATGCATTAATATGTGTTGGTTTCCTTTCTTCTTAAGAGTTTTTCTGAGGAGTAAATACATGTAGAGGGAGTAATATGGTGGCAAATATACAGTTGATGCTTAATAAATGTTACTTCTCTAAAAGGCAGTAAGGAATTCTGAGTTCTGTGCTCCCTGGGAGTAAGACTCTGATGATGAGTTTCCAGTTTCCTGAAAGCCCTCTGTTCCTCTACTTTAGCCTGTTACTGACATGGCCTCTTTCAACTCCTCCATCCTCTTCCCCAATTCTATAGCTCACATGCCTGCCCCAAGAATCTCAGAAAAGCCCTTTCCTGCTCCTCCAGGGAGTCTGCAATACAGGCCAGATACTCTCAAAGATTGGAAGACTTTTAAGTCTATTCAAAAAAAAAAAAAAAAACTATCCTTTGTCTCAGGCCATTATTTCTTCTCTTATTTTGAAAGAAGTAATTTCTCCTTCTTCATTTATATCATTTTGCTGAGGGTATTTGTGGATCATCAGCCTATATGTCAAGTCTTCTCCTTGGTTACACCATATAAATTCAGTTCTATATGTAAGCTAAAGTGACTACAACTAGAATAGGAATTAAATATATTTCAGGTTTTGCAGACAAACAAAACTCCTTTTTTCAACCCAGTTTCTCTTTGGATAAAACATTATCCTCAGTCTATAAATTAGAATTTTAGTGCTGTAGGTACCGCCTCATTTTGGAGGCAAGAAAGGTAAAAAACTTGACTCAAAGGATATTTTCTTGCTAATGGCAAGGTCAGAACTTGCACACAGGTGGCCTGGTTCCCAGGCCTTTTGTCTTTTCAGTATCTGATGATACCTGACCTGGTAGGGTCACCTGAAGTTTAAACTACTCTGCATCATAAGAAAATCTTTTGGTGTGTGGGATCCTGCTGAGAACTCTTGCATTCCCTGTACACTGTTCATGTTAGTATCCATGGACTACTTCCCATTCCTAACATGTTCAATGGACATTTTTCCACTCTCTGTAATGATCTGTCTCAACAGTCTCTCTGGAAAATTAACTCATCCTCTAATGTCCAACTCAAAGTTCACTTTTTTTCTGTTAACTCTCCACAACTTCCTGAGAAAAATCAATCACTTCTCCACCTGTGTTCTAATAGAGCTTTGCAAATGTCTCATTTATTGAGCTACAGATATTTGTGTATCTTTATCTCTCCACTAGACTGTGAATTGTTCAAGGTTAGAAATTCTATTCTATTCATCCTTGTATCCACAGCTCTCCAGAGTTTGACACGTGGTAAGCCTTCGTAATTCTTGTTTTTGTTAATTTGTTTTTGGTTTTTGCTGATAATTTTCATATTAGTTGCATTAAGTGAATAATAATGCTTTACATGGTTCTGATCAACATTGAAACATGTCTAAACTGAGTATCTTGGATTTCTAGGAACTAGAAGTACTGAAAATAATATTTGACAAATTTTACATGGAGGATTTGGTAAATTTATGCAAAAAGACTAAGAAAGTTTGTAGAATCAGAGCACCATGCAGAATACCCATGGAGTTCCCTTTATTCTTTAAAGTAGTTTAATTTGTTCACCATAAAAATTCCAGAATTTTCTACTCTTGACAAAAATAATACCAAAAAACCCACTTATGATATACAGTTCCATGTTGGAATATCAAGACAGACAAATGTTAAACTACCGCAAAATAAAAACTACTATTTTGGAAATAGAATAATAACACAGCACTACACAAACCTCCAACGACTTCAAATTTAGTCTTTTATCCCAATATGGTGATTAAGTCTTCAACTATAATTAAAATACTTTAATATATTTTATCAATATCTCTTACAGTATAATTGCTTAAAAAGTAATATGAACTCTAAAATATGCTACCATCCTTGGGAGATATCATACAATTTCCCAAGTCTGTCATTTATTCTTTAATATTTTGTACTTCATTCAGCTCTAAAGTAGAAATAGAGGAATACTCACATACTTGGTCAATGGCTTACAAGCTGTGAAACACGAACGTTGAATTACCAAAACTGCCCTCTAAATAGCATCTATATAGGCAAATTCTTACTTCTGAGACATTAAGGGAATCAGTCCACTGCCCCTCCCACCACTGACCTTCCTTGGGTTGAAAGAATTATTTCAGTTGTATTCAGTTTACAACTTAGCTTGCCCTGGGATAATATCAGACTGATGTTTTGAGCTATGTTTGGTTATTCTTGGCACCAGACAATAATGGTTTCTACCAATCAGATTATGACGTGCTACAATGAGAAGAAATGTAGTATTAAGAAAGGTGAAAACTGGAAATACGTCCTAATACATGGAATGTACATAACATTGTAGAGTGATAAAGGAAGTAAGGGAGGCTTCGGGGGTATATTTTGTCTTAAGACCAGAGAACAAATACCATTCAACACAAACTAGAAAGAGACAAAGCAGGATCGAATCCTCATATGTTGACATCAGCTTGAGTTAAAAGCTACAAAGGTAAAAGTTATTTGACATAAGTGCTGCTGTTCAGATTTCTCAATATTCCATGTTAACTTATTTTACTTTGGAAACTGAGAAGGAAAAGAAATATCAGCCCATAGGTGGAATCATTCCACAGATCATACTAACAAGGCTCTCATCAATAAGGTCATAATGATGATGGTTAGTGTTACATGCTGCACTTGTGTTTTTTAAAAACTGTATGAACACCTTTAAGTAGTTGAATCCTACTTACCAATTCCTTGCCAGAATGACCCGTTTTTCCCTTTAACATCTCTCTCAACATTGCCAAAATGATTTTGTTTTGTTTTGTGTGTGTAGAGTCTCCACAGTTCCCTCACTACTCGGAATAATTGTAAGTCACATAAATAATGACCTATATTGGCCACTGAGCCCAAGGCAGAGTTCAAAGGACACATCAAAGGGAACAAAATGTTAAGATGACTCCTGAAAACTGTGGTCGAGAAAACTGGCAAAAGCAGAAAACACACCAGAAACTCATCTGTGTTAGAGTACTCCAAAGAACCAATGTGTGTGTGTGTGTACACACATATGTAAATAATGAGATTTATAAGGAGTTGGCTCACACCATTACAGAGACTGAGAAGTCCTGAGATCTGTTCTTTGCAAGCTGTAGACATGAGAAAGCCAGTGGTGTATTTTGAAGACCTGGAAGCTGGAGAGCTGACAGTATAGATTCTAGTTCTGGTCTGAAAGCTGAGAGCCAGGAGTACTAGAGCAGAAGATTGATTTCCTGACTCAAACTGTCAGGAAGAGTGCAAATCTTCCCTTCTTGCACCTCTGTGCTCTACTCAGGCTCTCAAGGGATTGGATGATGGCCCACACACATTGGCAAGGACAATCTACCTTACTCAGTCTACCTATTTGAATGCTAACCTCTTTCAAAACACCCACACAGACATACCCAGAAATAATGTCTAACCAGATAGCTGGACATGTCTGGTTGACAGTTAAGTTGCCACTTAAAATTAACTATCACAAAGCACACTGGTGGTTTAGCATCTGACTGATTGATTAGAGGTTAAATCTTATCTCTATACTTCCTTGTGCCACAGCATTCCCGTATATAAAGTGAGAATTATAAAAATCAATATTTCAAAACATGGTAAATAAGCTCACTGCCTGACAGACAATAGGCACATACACATATTATTTTATATTTTGCTATTATACAGCTCCATAGAAATGTTATTTTGTTGTACATATATATATATACACTTATACATTTACAAGTATAATTGTTTTTTATATAATAGGTACTATTTTTGAGCTGCAATTATGCATTAGGCAATGAGATAGAACAAATGAATAAACACATGGTTAGGCCATTTCTTGTGTTGCTATAAAGAAATACCATGCTTTCCATAAAGCCTGCAGAACATGAAGAACTAACCTCTTTCCTTTATGAAAGAATTAAACCTCTTTTCTTTATAAATTAATAATATATTAATAAGTTAATAATATATAAAGAAAAGAGGTTTAATTTTTTAATAAAGAAAAGAGGTTAAATTCTTCACATTCTGCAGGCTCTATGGAAAGTATGGTGCTGGCATCTGCTCAGCTTCTGGGGAGGCCTCAGGGAGCTTTTACTCCTGGCAGAAGACGAAGCTGGAGTGGCACATCACATGGCGAGAGCAGGAGCAAGCAGGGAGGGAAGAGCCAGATCTCGTGAAAACTGTCATGAGGACAGCGCCAAGCCATGAGGGATCCGCAGCCATGACCCAATCACCTCCCACCAGGCCCCACCTCCAACATGAGGGATTATACTTTAACATGAGATTTGGATGGGACAAATATTCAAACCATATCAAAGCAGAAAATAAAATAGGAATGAGGTTCTACTTTGCCAATAAGCTACTGATGGTGGGGAAATTATGCAATTCAATATAAAATTCCAGAAACACTGACAAGACAGACCAGTTTTTTCTGGGACAGTCCTGGTTTCTGTGTGTTGTTTCAGAATAATTATTAATAGTTGCCCCCTCTCTTAAGAGTGTCCTGGTTTGAGCAATTAAATGCCCACACTGATGTTCCTTTGCAGTAGGATAAGCCTGTTGGGAGGGAAAATGTGCTTAGGGTACTTGGAGCACCTGATCTATGTGGGGAGGCAGTGCAGGAAAGTTTTCCAAGAGAGGCAAAATCTAGGTTGATAGTTCATAGATGAGTGGGAGTAGCTGTGTGAAAAATGAGGCAGAAGCACAGTAAGGAGCTCTAATTTCAAAGGGCAGAATAGCAAGTCCAAAACACAGCAGAGTCAGGAGAACCGGAAAGAAATTAAAACACAGAAAGATCCTAAAGTATGAAGGAGAAAGTTGGGAGGAAGAGTCAAGGATTAGACACAGCCCAGAAAAGCTTCTCCCACAAAGAGAGACCAGACTGTCAAGTAGACTGGCACTCTCAGAACAGATATTCAGAAAGAAGACATTGAGAGTCGATTGGATACAGGGAGGATGCAGATCCCAAGGCTGAAAGGGGAGGAAGCTGGGAACTGTGCACCAAGTTGCCAAGCACCAGGACTCATTCCTGGCTTCAAGTGGCTCCCAGGAAGGGGCGAGTGAAATAGGCATGGAACAGCCCATTCTTATCACAGACCTCTGAGATCCTAGCTGTGAGAGACCCCATGAGCCCCGTGGACATTTGAGTTGACAGGAATAACTGCCTAGAGTCTTGGCAGAGACAGAATTCCAGGCAGCATGGATCCCAGAGGGTCTGGTGCGGGAACAACTGCAGTGGAGCATGGCCATGGACTCCCATCCCCCAAGACTCACCATACTCCTCTAGGTGGGTTTAGAGTTTGTTAGCAGCTGGACTGGGAAAGAGCAGGGCTGTCTTACCCATGGGATGGAGCCAGTCTTATCTGAACGACCTCTTCTGCTGGCCTCTCCCAGGGTCCCTGCCTTGCCACACATATTTGCAGAACAGCCTCAGCTGCCCTGCTGAAATGCTTGCCAGTGGCCACCACCATAGCTCCTTCACTGACAGCCCCCACCTTCCTGTTGGAGCACTTTTGCAGATGAACCTCCACCAGGATGCCTCCACCTGTACCCTTCCCCCACCAGCACACACTCACCTGCAGCCTCCCACTGCTTCCCCACTGGTGAGCACACACACACACAGAAACGAGCTGCCACCTTACCAGCACACACTCACCGTGGCCTACCCCTGCCACCTTGCTGGTACACACACACAGGGACCCATCACTATCCCACCAGGGTACACATGCCTGCAGCCTCTCTCACCATCCCATTGGTGCACACACACCCATGGGCCCCAACCTACTGCCACACAAATGGCCCCCCAGCCTACTCACTAGTGCACACTTGGCTGCAGCACCCCCCCACCACCCACTGCAGCACACTCTCCCATGGACTCCTGCTGCCCCACTGCAGCACTTTTTGTTGGCAACCCCCATGGGAGTATTGTTGTCATTGGACTGGGAACACCTTGGCCCCTCCAGTGCAGCAGGTGTTTGACCTCGAGGGGCCAGAAAACAAAGGTACGAGCCTGGTCCTAGGTCCTGAGGGTTACAACACACAAACCAGAAGTGCTGAGCTGAGCCTTGGCCCCCTGAAAGCATCCAGAAACAAAGGCAATTGACTAAATTCAACTTGTGCCACAAACAAGCCCTCAAGAGTATCAAAGAACATAAAATCTAGAAGCCCTATCCAAAGGATAACAACTTCAAAGATTAAAGAAACATGACTTCAAACAGATGAGAAAGAAGCAGTGCAAAAATTCTGGCAACTCTAAAAGCTAAAGTGTATTCTTACCTCCAAACAACTGCACTAGCTCTCCAGCAACGGTTATTAACCAAACTCAAATGATGGAAATGATAGACATAGAATTCAGATTCTGGATGGCAAGGAAGCTCAAAGAGATACAGGAGAAGGCTGAAACCCAATCCAAGAAAAGCAGTAAAACAATCCAAGACTTGAAAGATGACATAGCCATTTTAGAAAGAACCAAACTGAAATTCTGGAAATTAAAATTTCACTATAGAAATTTCATAATGCATCTGGAAGTATTAAAAACAATATATCAAGCTAAGGAAAGAATCTCAGAGCTCAAAAACCACTTCCTTCAAATCAACAAAGGCAGACAAAAATAAAGAAAAATGAATTTTAAAAAATGAACAAAACCTCCAAGAAATATGAGATTATGTAAAGAGACCAAACCTATGACTCATTGGCATTCCTGAAAGAGATGGAGAGACAGCAAGCAATATAGAAAACATATTTGAGGATACTGTCCACAAAAGCTTCCCTGACCTCACTAGAGAGGTTGAAATGCAAATTTAGAAAATTCAGAGAACCCCTGCAAGATATTATACAAGACAATTATCCCCAAGACATATAGTCATCCAATTCTCCATTTGTCATCCAATTCAAAGGTTAATGTAAAAGGAAAATCTTAAAGATAGCTAGAGAGAAGGGGCAGGTCACATAGAAATGAAACCCCATCAGGCTAACAGTGGATCTTTCAGCAGAAACCTCACAAGCCAGAGGAGACTGGGGGCCTATACACAGCATCCTAATGAAAACAAATTCCAAATAAGAATTTCATATCCAGCCAAATTCAGCTTCAAAAGCAAAGGAGAAATAAAATCCTTTTCAGACAAACAAATGATAAGGAAATTCATTACCAACAGACTTGTCTTACAAGAGGTCCTTAAAGGAGTACTAAATATGGAAATGAAAGACTGATACCTGCCACTACAAAAAAACACACTTAAATACATAGCCCACTAACACTATAAAGAAACAATACCATCAAGTCTACATAACAACCAGCTAACGACACATGACAGGACCAAATTCTCATATATCAATATTGACCTTGAATGTAAATGGGCTAAACACCCCACTTAAAAGGCAGAGTGGCAAGTTGAATAAAGAAGCAAGACCCAACTGTATGCTGTCTTTGAGAGACCAATCTCACATGCGATGACATTCATAGACTCAAAGTAAAAGAATGGAGAAAGATCTATCAAGCAAATGGAAAACCAAAACGAGGAGGGATTGCTATTCTTATTTCACACAAAATAGACTTTAAATCAATAATGATCAAAAAGGATAAGGAGGCTGGGCATGGTGGCTCACGCCTGTAATCCCAGCACTTTGGGAGGCCGAGGCCAGCGGATCACGAGGTCAGGAGATCGAGACCATCCTGGCTAACACGGTGAAACCGCGTCTCTACTAAAAATACAAAAAATTAGCCGGGCATGGTGGTGGGCGCCTGTAGTCCCAGCTACTCGGGAGGCTGAGGCAGGAGAATGGAGTGAACCCGGGAGGCAGAGCTTGCAGTGAGCTGAGATCGTGCCACTGCACTCCAGCCTGGGTGACAGAGCGAGACTCCGTCTCAAAAAAAAAAAAAAAAAAAAAAAAAGGATAAGGAAAAGCATTACATTATGACAAAGGGTTCAATTCTACAAGAAGACTTAATTATCCTAAATATATATGCACCCAACATTGGAGTACACGGATTCATAAAATAAGTTATCAGAGACCCTCAAAGAGACTTACATAACCACTCAATAATAGTGGGAGACTTTAACACCTCATTGACAGTGTTAAACAGATCATTGAGGCAGAAAATTAGCAAAGATATTTAGGACCTAAACTCAACACTTGACCACATGTACCTAACAGTGATGACAGAATACTCCACCCAAAAAAATCAACAGAATATGCGTTCTTCTTATTTTCACATGGCACATTCTCTAAGATCAATGGCACACTCGGCCATAAAGCAATTCTCAACAAATTAAAAAAATATGAAATCATACCAACCACATTCTCAGACCACAGTGCAATAAAAATAGAAGTTGATACCAAGCAGATCTCTCAAAACGATACAATTACATGGAAATTGAACAAACTGCTCCTAAGTGATTTTGGGGTAAAGAGCAAAACTAAGGCAGAAATTTAAAAATTCTTCGAACTAATGAAAACAAAGATACAACATATCAGAATCTCTGGGACACAGTTAAAGCAATGTTGAGAGGAAAGTTTATAGTGCTAAATACCTATATCAAGAAATAGAAAAGTCTCAAATTAACCTAATATCACACCCAGAGGCACTAGAAAAACAAGAGCAAATCAACTCTAAAGCTAACAGAAGAAAAAAAATAACCAAAATCCAAGCTAAGGTGAATGAAATTGAGATACAGGGATCCATACAAAAGATCAATGAAACAAAAAAAATGGTTATTTGAAAGAATAAACAAGATTGATAGGCTGCTAGCTAGATTAATAAAGAAAAAGAGAGAGAAGATTGAAATAAAAACAATCAGAAATAAAGGTGGCATTTCCTCTGACCCCACAGAAATACAAAAACCCTCAGATACTATCATGAACACCTCTCTGCACAAACTAGAAAACCTAGAAAAAATAGATAAATTCCCAGAAACATACTACCCCCTGAGATTGAACCAGGAAGAAACTGAAATCCTAAAAAGACCAATAATGAGTTCCAAAACCAAATCAGTAATACTTACCAGCCAGAAAAATCCCTGGACTGAATGGATGCACAGCCAACTTCTACCAGAGGTACAAAGAAGAGCTGATACCACTCCTACTGAAATTATTATTCCAAAAAAATTGAGGAGAAGAGATTCCTCCCTAATTCATCTTATCAGGCCAGCATCATTCTAATACCAAAAACTGGCAGAGACACAATGAAAAAAGAAAACCTCGGGCCAATTTCTCTGATGAACATAGATGTAAAAATCCTCATCAAAATACTAGCAAACCAAATCCAGCAGCATTTAAAAAAGCAAATCCAGTATAATTCTAGCTTTATTCCTGACATGCAAGGTTGATTAAACATACACAAATCAATAAATGTGATTCATCCTATAAACAGAACTAAAAACAAAAACCACATGATCATCTAAGTAGATGTAGAAAAGGCTTTCAGTAAAATTTAATATCCCTTCATGTTAAAACCATCAACAAAGTATGCACTGAAGAAACATACCTCAAAATAATAAGTCGTCTATGACAAACCCACAGCCAACATCATACTGAATGGGCAAAAGCTGAAAGTATTTCCCTTGAGAATCAGAAGCAGACAAGGATGCCCACTCTTGCTGCTTCTATTCAACATAGTACTAGAAGTCTTAGTGAAAGTATTTAGGCAACAGAAAGAAAGTAAAGGCATCAAAATAGAAAGAGAGGAAGTCAAACTTTCTCTCTTTAAGACAACATGATTCTTTACCTAGAAAACCCGATAGTCTATATCTAAGGCACCTACTAGTGATAAACAACTTGAGTAAAGTTTCAGCCTACCAAATAAATGTACAAAAACCAGTAGCATTCCTATACCCTAATAACATCCAAGCTGGGAGTCAAATCAAAAATATAATCCCATTTACAATAGCCGCAAAAAAATACCTAAAAATACAGCTAATTAGGGAGGTGAAAGATCTATACAATGAGAATTATACAGCGCTGCTGAAAGAAATCAGAGACAACACAAGCAAATGGAAAAACATTCCATGCTCATGCATAAGAATCAATACTGTTAAAATGGCCATAATGCCTAAAGCAATTTACAGATTCAATGCTATTTCATCAATGTACCAATGCCATTTTTCAGAATTAGAAAAAACTATTCTAAAATTCATATAGAACCAAAAAAGAACCCAAATAGGCAAAGCAATCCTAAGCAAAAAGAACAAAGCTGGAGGCATCATATTACCCAACTTCAAACTATACTACAAGGCTACAGTAACCAAAAAAGCATGGTACTGGTACAAAAACAGACACATAGACCAGTAAAACAGGCTCAAGAACCCAGAAATAAAGCAACACCTACCATCATCTGATCTTTGACAAAGTCTGCAATAACAAGCAATGGGGAAAGGACTATGTAGTCCATAAACGGTGCTATGATAACTGGCTAGCCATATGCAGAAGATTGAAACGTGACCTTTTCCTTTCACCATATACAGAAATCAACTCAAAATGGATTAAAGACTTCAGTGTAAGACCTAGAACTGTACAAACCCTGGAAAAAACCCTAGCGTATACCATTCTGCACATAGGCTTTGGCAAAAATTTCATGATGAACTCTCCAAAAGCAATTGCAACAAAAATAAAAATAAACAAGTGGGACTTAATTTAAGTAAAGAGTTTCTACACGGCAAAAGAAATTATCAACATAGCAAACAGACAACCTATAGAATGGGAGAAAATATTCACAAAATATGCACCCAACAAACGTCTAATATCCGGAATTTATAAGGAATGTAACAAATCAAGCAAAACCCAAACAATCCCATTTAAAAATGGGCAAAGGACACAAACAGACGCTTCTCAAAAGACATCCACACAGTCAAAAATCATATGAAAAAATGCTCATCATCACTAATCATCAGAGAAATGCAAATTAAAACCACAATGAGATATCATCTCACACCAGACAGAATGGCTATTATTAAAAAGTCAAAAAATAACAGATGTTGGCAAGGTTGCAGAGAAAAGGGAAGGCTTATACACTGCTGCTGGGAATGTAAATTAGTTCAGTGTGGAAAGCAGTTTGGACATTTCTCAAAGAACTTAAAACAGAAACCACCATTCAACCCAGAAATCCCATTACTGGGTGTATACCCAAAGGAATATAAATTGTTCTACCAAAAAGACACATGCACTATTCACAACAGCAAAGACAAGGAATCAACCTAGGTGCCCATCAACAGTACTGGATAAAGAAAATGTGGTCCATATACACCATGAAATACTATGCAGCCATAAAATAATGAAATAATGTATTTTTCAGAGCCATGGATGCAGCTGGAGGCCATTATTCTAAGTGAATTAACGCAGGGTCAGAAAACCAAATACCATATGTTCTCACTTATAAGTGGGAACTAAACACTTAGTACACATGCACACAAAAATGGGAACAATAGACACCAGGGCCTACTTAGTGGGTAGGGGGAGGGTCAAAAAATTACCTATCAGATACTATGGTCACTGCCTGGGTGACAAAATCATTTTTACACCATACCCAGGTACATGCAATTTACCCATGTAACACACGTGCACATGTACTCCCTGAATCTAAAATAAAAGTTGAGAAAAGAAAAAAAAAGTTGCAAAGGATGACATAGATCAGTAGTGGTCATATCATGAGGGTTCGGAAAATCTGAATCAATGTACTTTAAGGGCACTAAAAAGCCAAGGAAGGGACCCTGTTTACTAAGGGTAGGCAATGGTAGTATGTGCTGTGGATGTTGGGGAGCTGTGAACCTAGAGAATAAAGGGCTTGTTTTATTTGGAAGCTCTTAGAAACTGTTGATTTTTACAACTCATATCGTTTTCTTCACGGCCTTCCTCTTCCAGACCATGGAGGTGACATGGCTAAGAACTCAAAGCATGCAGCATCCATTTTGCCCTTGAGTTTACATTTCAGCAGAACAATTCCAGAATGAATCATTGCCTGCACAGGTTGTTGGTTATGCCCGGTTTACAGCCCATTTTCAAAGCTCCTTTCTACTTTATGGTCCAGACTGAGTTTGCAGAGATTTATGTGGAGATTTCTTATTCTCTTTGAAAAATAGAAAATCTTTCACCAGCATATTTTTCTCACTCAGTGAGGCAATGCTGAACCTCCTTGCTGTTATTCTCCAGAAAGCCTTTTCTACCACCATCAAATTGACCATTTTCATTTAAGATAGAAAGGGAATAGTTAAGAATGGAAAAATTAGTTCTGAAAGGTGGACTGGAAACTGAACGCAGCCCTTGGAAATCAGACGAAACAGAGAGGAATCACTAACTCTATGAGACAAAACCGTGTGCTCTAAAATAGGGAACTGAATTCTGGAGGATTCGATTACTCAAAATCTCCTACTTCTAAAACCTAACCTAATGTGGCCTCAGGACTGGGCAATAAGTGCTTGCCTACAGACATGACAGTAACTCAGTGTTGGGAAGAAAAGAAACTTTAAAGAAAAGTTTTGATCAAGGATGCATCCTGTATCCAAAGAGGAAAGTTATATTCCGTTTATAAAGAGGGAGTTTCACGAGGGAAGGAATATGGATAATGAGCTGATAGTTGTAGAATAATATAGGACTTGAGAGCTATACTATCTAAATTCAAATCAGGATCTTCAATTTACTTGCTGTAAACAGACATGCAAGACACTTGACTTTGGATAAGTGTCTTAAGTTCTATGAGCCTATTTCCTCATCTGTAAAATGAGGATAATCATATCTCACAGGATTGTTATTAAGATTAAATGTGTTAATATTTCTCAAATACTTAGAGTAATGCTTGACACAGATAAGAGCTTGTTAATAATAGTGACAAAAATTTATCAATAATTGCTGCTCAAGCATGATGTATTCTACTCTAAAATCTCTACAAATTCAATTTCTATTTCTAGGAAATGATTTCGTCTCCCACTATGTCCCTTTCATATACCTTAAATCTTCCTGAAACGAAGTAAAATTAGTAACTCCTAGAGCAAAATTTATTTTTTAATATTTATGAACAAAAGAATTCACAGTATTCTTTCCAAATCTCCAGTGACCCACCTACCCATTCACTGAGTCCCTCAGTGATAAAGAACATTTGTCCAGGTGGCGATGGCAAGGCATTTTGGGGATGGACACAGCTGAGCAGGGTCAGAGTTTACTTTATCTTAATATCCCTTTGTCTCAATTTAGAAAAAAAGGAAAGGGCCCAGCTTCCAGACAGCCATGAAAACAAAATAAACAGGCATGTAAATGAGATGTGTTTTGGATGTGGGTTTATATATATTGGCAGGAAGAGCAGTGAAACTTATGACTCTACTTTCTTATTCTTTTTTCTCTCTCCTGTCCCACTTGATGCCAAAGGAGTTATTTTTAAAAGCATGGGTTCATGTTTTTGATCATAATGTTATGGCAAAAGGGGAGATGACCTTTACATTTAGCTAGTAGCTGTTATACGATCAGGAAGCTCCAAATGGTAACACTTCAGGTTTGGTCACCATTTTGGGTATGCCATAGTTTTTTTGTTTGTTTTTTGTTTTTGTTTGTTTGGTTGGTGTTTTTTTTGTTTTGTTTTGTTTTTTTGTTTGTCTTCAGTTAAATAGCACTTACCAAACCCGAACATGTCCAAATAGTCATTTATTTCTTAGTTCATTGAAAGAATATTTATTCCCTACCAAATTCTACCAAAGCGTCTTGCAAGACCTCCATCTGGTACAGAATCATATAGAGAAATAAGTTAACATACTAAATCTTTACCAAAGCATGTAGGTGTTCACCCAATTCTGTGCATCAGGATTGAGAGAGAAAACAACAGATGAAAGTGTCTCTATGTCAAACATACAGAATAGAAATATTACCTATAGAAGCAACCAGTGGGATGCAACTCTGCTTAACTAACAAACATAGGCTTATAACTCAAGGGGTTCCCTTCAGCAAGAGAAGATTGGACTCTTGTAATTCATACAGTGCCTTAATGCTTCAAAATAGGAATTCTCATTTTTGATTATTCTGTGGGGGTTAACTGGTTCTAGGCCAACTTCTAGAGGGAAAAATGATACATTCCTGCCAAACAAGAGCAAAATGCTAATTATGTATGTTTTGTGTGCTAATGTTTTTTTCCTGGGAAAAGAGGAAAATGAAATTACTTCTGTGGTCTGATATGTTTTAAGTCCTTATCTGAGAGACTACTGAAAGTATTGTCTATATTATCCCACAATTCTGACAGAAAACTGGACATTTTAGTAAATATTCCAAACCTTCTTTGTATAAATTTAAAAACATGGATAAATCTTCTCATGCCGCTAAATTTACTTTTTTTTTGGATATTTAGTGGTGAGTGGTCTAAAACTGTCTATTATACTCATATAAAATATATTCTGGGGGAAAAGAATTTTTGCACATGAAATTTGATCTTTGCTATAGTTTGGATATTTGTCCTCTCCAAAGCTCATGTTGAAATATGATCCCCAATGTTGGAGGTGGCACTTAATGAAAAGTGTTTAGGTTGGGGGGTGAATACTTCATGAACAGAATAACGCCTTTCCTGAATTGCACTTAGTAGGTGTTTGAGGCAGTTGTGGGTGAATGAGTTCTCACTCTTATTAGTTCCTGTGAGCTATTTGTTAAAAGGAGCCAAGTACCTCTTCTCCTCTTCTCCCTCTCTTCTCCCTCTCTCTCTCTTACTCCCTCCCTCCCTCCCTATCTCACCATATGATCTCTGCACATGCCAACTCCCCTTCACCTTCCTCCATGAGTGGAAGCAGCCTGAGGCTCTCAGCAGGTATATATTCCAGTGACATGTTTCTTGTATAGTCTGCACAACTGTGAACCAAATAAACCCTTTTCATTATAAGTTATGCAGCCTCAAGTATTCCTTCATAGCAACACTAAACAGACTAAGACAATTTTCATTACTAACGTTTTGCTGTTAAAAAAAATCTTAACTTCTGAATTCCCAAATCTCTGATAAAATAATGTCATTCTGCAGGGATAATTGAATTGAACAAAACTGGTGTTAGAGTTGTTTCATCTAAAATAACCAAATAATTCTTATATTTCTCAAAGGGAGAGTGGAACAATAAAATCTCATATTTCTGTGGAAGGAGAGTAACATTTAAATCAAAATGATTAATGTCTAAGTTTTATTTCTTAATTTGCATCAACAGAAAGAGGAAATAAAAGTTTAAGACCTGCATTAGGGCCATCAGTGGTGGCTGAAGAAACAAACAACCTCCAATATCAGTGGCTTAGCCCAGCCAAGGTTTTTTCTCACACTTGCAAGTCCACTGTAGATGGTCTTGGGCAGCTTTCCTCCAAATTAGGGACCTGGATGCCTTCTGCCCTATGGCCCTGCCATCTTGAAGGACTTTGCTTGTAGCTGCTCAGATTGTGGGGAGAGAGAGAGAGAATGAGAGAGAGGGGGGAATAAGGATAAGGAGAAAGAATGAAAGATTGTGTAGACAGTCTTGAATAAAGTAATGGACATTTGAATTGGTTTAAATGACACATGACTGGCAAAGAGTAATGACCTCCAAGTCTTGATGCCTTTAGTATTTTATCTACAACTTGTTATATAATTGCTATATCTTTATAAATCATGTAATTCCTCTAAAAGGGGTAAAGAATTATATAAATGGACAGGCCCAAAACACAACTGCAAAAGCCTAATTTATCAGTGAAGAGTTAATATAAGTCATGTGCAGAAAAAGAAACAAATGCATTTTGAATAAATGATAAAGCAATCTCTCTTTAAATGCTGCTCATTTTAATCACCTAAGTACTTCAATCACCTAAGATAAATGAATAGGCATGGCTTTACTAAGTGGTCCTTCTAATACGATTGTATGATAGGGTCTTAATCATCACCTATGAAAGTCAAAGCTTCTTTCACAGTGTATCTAACTGATTTTAGCAGAGGACTTTGTCTTTCTACATCTCCTTAGAAATATTTATGCATTATAAGTGAAGTGAAACATACCAGGGGCAATTATTTATAATATTTAACAACAGGTAAGCACAAGCATCGACCGGTCAGAATGGATACAGACCCTAGAGTAGCATCTTGGAATCTCCTATTGCAATGGGCATTGAATCTTTGATTCCTGGATCATAAAGGAGGAGCCACTGGCCAGGGTGGCAGTGGGGAACAGGCAATTCTGAGCCATAGGCAGCAGAAATTATTTACTAACAGGTATTTTTTCAATATTCTATCAACGTGTGCAGTCATACTGGAGTCCAGCTCATCCAAGACCCACCATAAGACTCCAGCTTTAAATTTTCTAAGCCATCCAGGATTA